>NC_000011.10:38241818-38393333 GCF_000001405.40 Homo sapiens
ACTGGCTCACAAAGTTCAGGGTTTTCAGCCATTTTTTTGTATTGCATTTTAGGTCATTTCTTTTGCTATGTGGTCAAGTTCACCAATCTTTTCTGCTATGTCTAATCAGCTGTTAATTTCAGTAGACTTTTTAAAATTTTAGATATTATATTTTTTACCTCTAGATATTCTGATTCTATTACATAAATTACCTTTTGTATTAGTCAATTTTCATGGCAATAAAGACATACCTGAGACTGGGTAATTTAAAAGACAGGGGGTTTAATTGACTCAAAGTTCTGCATGGCTGGGGAAACCTCTGGAAACTTACAATCATGGTGGAAGAGGAAGAGGCACAACTTACATAATGGCAGTTGAGAGAGAGTGAGCAAGAACAGGAATCTGATTTATAAAACCATCAGATCTTGTGAGAACTCACTCACTAAAATGAGAACCGCATGTAGGAATCTGCCCCCATGATCCAATCACCTCCTACCAGGCTCCTCCCTCAACAAATGGGGATATGGTAATTACAGTTCAGTATAAGGCTTGGGTGAAGACACAGCCAAACCTTATTATTCCACTTCTACCACCTTCCAAATCTTATCTCCTCACACTTCAAAACACAGTCATGCCTTCCCAAAGGTCCTTCAAAATTTCAACTCATTTCAGCATTAACCCAAAAGTCCAAGTCCAAAGTCTCATCTGAGACAACACAATTCCCTTCTGCCAATGAGCCTGTAAAATCAAAAGCAAGTTATTTACTTTCACAATACAATGGGGGTACAGGCATTGGATAAACGCTACCATTCTAAATGGAATAAATTGGCCAAAACAAAGGGGCTACAGGGCTCATGCAAGTCCAAAATCCAGCAGGGGAGACATCAAAATTAAAACTCCAAAGTAATCTCTTTTAACCCCATGTCTCACATCCAGGACATGCTGATGCAAGAGGAGAACTTTAGTTGTTTTAAGCTATTCACATCTGTAGCCATTGGCTACTGCAACATAATCTAGCCTGCCCTAACTGGTACAGTCAGATTTATCCATGACAAATTTAAAATACTATCTATGCATACCTTACTCAAATCTATAACATAAAACATAATTTGACAATTTAGTTCATGCATGGATTCAAGAACAATTGTTAATTATGGACACTACAGAAATATGAATACAACTTAAGCCATATTTAGTTCTTCATTTTAGAATTTTAATCTATGCTGTTAAACTTATCAGCTTATAAGTTTTATTTTAAAAGATCTTGCAACTTAATAAACTATAATTTCTACCTAGTAGGCACTTTAAATTTTTAAAGTAACTATTTTCTTCTAAAAATCCTTCCTTCAAATACCTATCATTATTCAACTATAAAATGTACTGAATGATAACATATTCATTGTACACTTTTTGTTTACTTACCTTATTTATAGAAATTTTCTGTGTCTCTTCAAAAACTATAAATTCTATTTTAAAAAAGATTGTTCCATTCATTGATGCTTTGCTCTCTAGCTACAGAGATTTGACAATCTTACATTGCAAAATAAATTCATATTTAGTTATTCTCTTAAAAGATATAAAATTTAATTCACTTTAGCCCTTCAGCACATTTTGTAACTTACAACAAAATATTTTGCCTGTTTTTTAAGAAAATACTTTTAATATACATTTAATTTCAATCTCTCTTTTGATAGACAAGGATGGTTCTTCTAGCTGTTACTTTATTCCAGAAGTCACATAGGCTACCTATAACGAACAGACCTCCTAAAAAAATGTTAAACACTAACCTGGCTGCCTGAGAAGACAGATTAGTGCAAGGTGGTGGTAAGGCATTTATTTTTGTCTTCTGAGTTTGTTATTTCTATCTCCATCATCTTTTATCATGTGTTAATTAGTTCCTGACTCATTCTTGTATCTATCTTAAAGAGATAAAAGAGATGTTTTCTTCTATATTCAAATCTACTGATTGTTTATTTAAGTATTCTTTTTTGTTCTATCTAATTATACTGTTCTTATAAAAGGAGCTTGTGTTGGAATTGTGCTATGGACACACCATACAAAAGCATTAGGAGATATACCTAATGTAAATGATGAGTTAATGGGTGCAGCACACAAACATGGCACATGTATACACATGTAACAAACCTGCACATTGTGCACATGTACCCTAGAACTTCAAGTATAATAAAAAAATTAAAAAAATAAAAATAAAAAACATCTAATTTCAAAAAAAAATTTTTTCCTAAAAACTATGTTCTTTGGATAATATCTTATACAAGCAGTTTAGATATATTTACTATAAGATATTTCAGAGTACATTAAATGTTCTACGTCCAAATGTGACTTTTTACTTGGGGGTACAGTGTCCAATGTTTTCTGCAATCATTTGACCTTAGGGTCTTTCATTTATAGAAATCTTGCATAATATTCACTCTTTAGATCTTCTTTAACAAATAGAATTAAATTAATGGCATCGTATTTCTAAAAGGAGAAAGTACTTTTTTATCATTGAATAAATTATTTGTCACCCAGAAGGAACATCCTCTTTAACACAAATAGCTCCCTCAGGAGTGAGGTGTGACTGTACCTCCTACTTGAAGGATTGGTAAGATTTATATATCAGTCTGAACTCTAAAACCACTGAAAACTATATTGTAACAGCTTGCCCTAAAATAAAACTAATTATTTTATCCACACTTGTTATGCAATGTAATGAGAATTGTTCCCACTAACTTCAAAAATTATTTACCTCCAATAGTCAGGTTTATTTAATTTCACAGAAAATAGTAGTTCTTTTAAAAAATTTTGTTTTAAAATCCTGCCACTATCCATCTTGTTAATAGACAATTGTAGTTTGCTGTCTCTATGCAAACTGGCATCTAGTATTTTCCTTTTATTATTCACATCAGATAAACAAAAATCCCATGAGTTTATAACTTCTGTCTAAAATATCTCTGGCTTATCAAACAATTGAGATAAATGAGTTTCATTTTCTTTATTCTGAGCTGGGTGGGTAGACATTTATAATATTGTTCATCTTTTCAGGCACAATTCATTAAGGAGACATACCCAACTCAGAACACCAAAAAAAAATACCCAAGTTTTTCTGACTATATTTTTATATCTTTTCCTTGGCTTATGTTATAAGCCAGTGTAATATGGGTTTTGACTTTGATAATTGAAGGTGTTTGATATATAATATTTATTTGTTCTCTTTTCTGTCTCAACAAAACCAATAAGTATTGTGAGTGCAACATCAAAGTTCATCTGCATTTCTCTAATTTATTTTTGTTCTGGACACTGTTATTCATTTCGTAGATTTCCTTCCACCAACCACAAATGCAATTTTCTTTTTGTAGTTACATCATTTTCTTCACCACAATTCCCAAAATGTTGTGATTTGGAGTCTTTATCAAGTCAAAAAATATTAGCAAGGGAAAGATACTGAACTTCTATAGGAAGTGGAAATCTAAAGGTCTGGCTGTATTAGATAATATTATCTTGACCACTTGCCATCAACATTAATCCTTTCTGTACTTTTCTGTACATTAAGAAAAAGGAAAATCTAGAAGAAACTGATCCTGGTTTAAACTAGGCATAAGCTAGTAACAGTGAGAATTTGGGGAATGAATATGGAGCAGTTGTTCTTCCCTTAGTTCATGGTTTAATGGGTACAATATTGTCTGTTCTAGAATTATTCAAAAAAATCCAAGATAAGCATTTCATTTTAAATATTTTTTTTTATTTCTTTCCTTCTGGAAATTTCTTTGCATCATGCAATAGAATATTTATTTCAGAAAATACCTTTTCTGTTATATTTCAAGCATGGAGCCAGTGCTTCTATCCCATCATTGATATTCTTAGCATGCAATTTTACAGAATGGCAATTAGGACTGAGAAAGGTCATATAATTTTTCCAACCTCACCAAATAAATCAGTATCAGAATTTTCACACTGAAGATTGTGTTTTTCCACTTATTATTGATATTCCAACCCTAGTTCTTTATGAGTAATCTGCTAAGGAAAGGACTATATCTGCATTGAAAATTATTCTTATCATCTAAACTTGCTGGGCTATATATATGGCCCATTTGACTATTCTCCTGAGACTGCTAATCATTTGATTCCTTGTGTGTAAAACCCAACCTAAATGAAGACTGAAATATTTAATCTGTGAAAGAAACACTATAAGAAAGCAGTGCAATATCATGGATCTGGAAACTGGAATAATATCCCAAATCATTGGGTTGTATTTTTGTTTTGATGTAGCTTTATTAAATCTTATAAAGAACAGTTGAAGGAATCAGAAAAATAAGAAAGATATCAGAAAACAATAAAGGCTAAAGCAGGCTACATATATCATATAGTCTAACCTTTTATTTTACACACAAGGAAACTACTTCAGAGAGATTGTGCAACTGTCAAAAGGTTTAAAAGAGAGTTTGGAAACTTTTGATTTACAACTCAAAGGTATTTAGCAGATACGTAGTATGTTGCTTGTTTCATTGTCTTGGGCATTTTTCTGGTGAGTCAAAGAGTCAAACAATAATTTTAAGTATCTAATATGAATCTAGCACTGTTCTAGATGTCATAGATCAAGTTTATATATATATATAGAGATCTTTAAACAATATACATATATATTTATATCTATATATCACTATAGATAAGGATATAAATCAGACGTGGATCAGTCACAAATACAATACCTATTCCAAATATTTCAAACAGAAAATTATTTATTACAAGAATTCACTTGTTTTCAGGAGACTGAAAGACAGAAGACATAAATGTAAAAACTGCTATTACATCTCTGATTTACAGGTACATTTTAGGGGATGATAAGTGATGATCTCAGCAGATTCAATCACTAAGTCAGGTAATTTACAAAAAAAATTGTTTATGCAAAATCTCACATCTGCTGAAACCCATTCATTTGCTTTCAGTAGCCAGAATACAAATATGGGTTTTGCCTCTCATCTTCTTTCCAAATTTTTTAAGCCCAGGGAGCAAACATTAGGTGGTTGAGAAAAGACATTGACTGATACCAACTAAATTAGTCATACATATCTGCTAGATAATTGAGTTTCCTCCGCAGTGGGTCCCTTTACATTTTGTCAATTCCAAGGGATACATCCATATTCTTTAGGAAGATTTACTTGTCAACAATTCGCCAGTCCTAGTCTTGGTGAATGTTTTCCTATTTAGATTTTACTACCTTTCTTGCACTTTACCTTACCCTCTTCTATATAAATGTCTGTGTGTGTGTGTGTGTGAGTACCTTACCCTCTACTATATATATATGTGTGTGTGTCTATGTGTATACACAAACACATATGTGTATGTATACACACAAACACGTATGTGTATGTATACACATATACATTTTGCTAATACATAATTACATGTTGCTAATTCCAAGAGATATATCTGTATTCCTTAGGCAGATTTACTTGTCAACCATTCTCCAGTCCTAGTCTAGGTATGTATTTCCTGTTTAGATTTTATTACCTTTCTCTTGCTTTAACTACCATATGTATATATATGTGTATATATACACATTCATGTATGTATATGTGTATTGTGTATGCATACACACATATGTATATGGGTACATGTAGATATATCTGTATGTATGTATATATATACACACACACACATATGTAAATACAGATAGATATATCTATACTCACACATATATCTATACGAACACACAGAGAGAGAGAAGGAGAGACAGATTTATTTGTAGGAATAGGTTTATGTGATTGTGGGGTTTGGCAAGTTCAAAATCTGCAGAGTAGGCTGGCATGCTGGAGATATATGGAAAAGCTGATTTTTGCAGATTGAGTCTGAAGACTGACTTCACATAGAATTCCTTCTTTCTAGAGAAACTTCAGTTTGTATGTGTGAGTGCTTTCATTAAGGCCTTTAATAGATTGGATGAGGCTTACCCACCACCCACATTATAGAGGGTAATCTACTTAGAGTCTACCAGTTGAAATGTCAATCTTCTTTTAAATAATAATCACAGCAGTGTCTTGACTAGTGTTTGGCAAAATATCGTGATATCAAGGCCTGGACAGTTAACACATAATTAACCATCACGGTTCCACTAAGTCAAGAAAAAGGCAAAGAGTTGACTGTTTACTGTAATTGAATACTGCATTGTATATTAGCTAGTGTGATTATTAAGGAGAAAAACTTGAGGCATAATAATTGGAAAATGGATAAAACTATCTCTACTTGCATTCCATATTATGTGCATCTGAAAAACACAAAAAATGCTAACACACAAAATACAGACATTAAATAACATAGAAGGAAACAAAATTATTTTACAAAGATAAATATTTTTATTTTTACAAACAACAGTTGTACAATGTTGTAGAAGAAAAAAATTAAAATAGTAAAAAGTATAAAAATATTTAGTGATAATCTCAATATAAAACATACAAAAGCTATAGGATAAACTTGAAAATGCAGCATAACGTAGGCTTATCCTTACCAAATGAGACCCAGAATAGTACACAGTAGAAAATATGTCAGTAATGTTATTTATACCTTAATTTAAGAAAAATTATCTGAGTAAAAAATCAAACAAACAGACTTTTGGCAAAATAAGTAAAGTACCTATACTAATCATATTATTTTTCATCTTTTTGACAATAATATTGCATGTTATTCATAATTATGATGAACATCAGTCATACACCAGGCTACATGGTGGCTTGCCTTTTAGGGATTAAAAAATCTGACTAGTCTCAGACATCCTCACAGTGCTGAAACATGAGAAAGATGAACAACAAAGACTGTGTGAGCCAGGGAAATTAAACAAAATTAACCTTCAAACAAAATTAACCTTCAAGTGATAAAGCTACTGACAAACCACTTTTAAAATAGAAGAGCTTGAAGAATATAATTCTCATGAGTTATTGCTAATAAAACTTATTAGAGACCAAATTGTAATTAATCAAAGTATGACAAGAAAAACTTTGGTAAAATACTGGTAATAATAAGCAATGGGTGTATTTAAATGTAGATCTAAAAGTAAGAAAAACAACAATAGTAACCATAAGATTGGTAGGATAGAACAAAAATATTACATAGTCTTAAATAGATGAATAATGTAACTTACAAAGTATGAAAGTGGGAGAGATGATATTAAGTACAATAGCTCACAAATTGCCTGATGTATAATGGCTAAAAATAAAAGATATTTTAAGTTGAAAGAAAAAAAACTACTGGGAAATTTTTTGAATATTGAATTAGCACAAAGGTAAAAACTAAGATAAATAATAACATTTTAAAAGATTGGGTGATGGAGGAAATGGAGAGGAAAAGGAGAAAATATAAGAGTAATAATATTTATGTTCATGGTAAGGAAAATATAGAATGTCTAAAGAAAGAGGAAACTGAAGAAAGCAGAACATTTTAATATAATAAGTGTAAAATTACACAACTTTGGTAAAGCAGAAAGTATTGAAGAAAATATAGGTCTGTTTGTTACTTGAAGACGTCTTCACTTTAAGAGGTGAAGAGTAAGCAACAATCATAGTGAGCAGAGAAGGCAGAGTGCCCTAAAAAGCTTGAAGATTCTCTGGGGATGCAGGCTAGGGAACAGTAGTACTTGGCACCTGCAAAGTCATTTCTGAGGACAAGAGAGACTTCCTCTAGGGCCCTCAGATATTTTGGGGAAAGAGAACTATAGTCATGTAGTAATGCAGATGAAGGCTTCTAAGCCATTCAAAATTGGATATTTTTCCAAATGTGTTGTTATTTGTGTCAATGAGTTTAATAATGATAGCTTAAGAGACCTAGGAGAATTTGAGATAAGTAAAATCCTGTGACATTAATACCTTCATATACATGTATGTGATGAAAACCACCACACTTCCACAAGATCCTCAGGGTGTCACTTTTCCAGCTGGAAACCTCTGTGGCCAGTGAAGCCTTTGCTCGAGTTTTGCTCAGGCCCACTGGGCTTGTTCCATCCACTCAGCCTAGTAAGCTGTGCTTGGCTTGCACTACTGGCTTGGATCCCATGCCTGCCAAGGGCAAGACAGGTGTGGAGCAGTGAGGAGTGTGTGAGCAAATGAGCACGGGGTCTGGCCACTGTGGACAACCAGGCACACTGGCTGCTGTGGAGGGGCAGGCAGCTCCAGGCACTGGCACAGGTGCCAGCTCCATGCAAGCCTGCAGCTGGATCAGACGCACCACAAGTGGCTTCTGCTATGGGCACCTGCATCAGGGTGAAGGGAACGTGGTGGTACCCAGAAGCTTTGAGATGGCAGAAACTGCAGACCCCCAAAGAGGGTTTCATAGTCTTAGCTCAGAGACTCTCTATATCTGGGCTCCCCAAAGGGCCACAGCTCTTCTCTTCTTCTTGTCGCCCACAGTGTGGCAAGTGGGGGTGGGGGTAGCGTGTTTCAGCCCTGTTTGTGTTACAACTCTACCAGTCCCCCATTTGGCAGGTCCTGAGTTCCTGTCCCATGTCTAGAAATAATCAGTATGTGGACAACTGGAGCATGAGCAAGGCAGAGAGGAGCTTTATTGACAGAACGGCTCTCCAGAGACTCAAATTGAGTAGCTCCTTTCTGCAGACAGGTTGTGCCGATGAGTGTCCAACTCTTGGTAGAGAGGAGACCCATAGTGGGTAGCTAGCTCCTTTCTGCAGGCAGGTCATCCTGACATGTCCAGGAGACGCAAAGTGGGAAGCTCTTTCCCACAACTGTTAGTCCCAATGTCTGTGTGAATCTGGCTGTGTCTGGGGTTTTTATGGGCTCAGAAGGGAGGACATGTGCTGATTGATTCATGGGCAGCCATGCGCAGGCCAGGAAGAAGTACCATAAATTCTCACTCTGGGCTGCAGACTCCACCCAGAACTGGCAGCCTGTCCCCTAGACTTCAGGTCATACTTACCTTGAAGATGGGGCTTCACTGGGCACCCTCTCTTCTCCACCCAGGAACCTGTCTGTCTCCCGTCACCATCAACATGCTGTACACAGCACCCAGGCTATTCATGCCAAGGAGCGCCTGCAGGCCCATGCCAAGCCACCCTCAGCACCCTGAGCATCCCTCCCATGATTGTCAGCACCCAAAGTCTGGAGAGGGTAAAGTCAGCAGGGGTCTAGCATGTCAGTGATACTCCAAGTGTGCACACACCTGGCTGGGTCATGACAGTGCCTGGGCTCAGCTTCCACTTTGCTCCAAAATCATAGCAGGTGCCTGGAGCAGGGAGAGGCCAGAGAGCAGGAGCAGAGCCCCTTCTCAGTGGCCCAGGAAGCCTGCCTTTCCCCACTTCTGAGCCTGCAGGAGCTTCCTGGGCCCCTAAGACTGCAGGGATGCCCGAGTCTGGAACTGCAGCTGGCTGGCTTCAGCTGTACCCGGGAGCATGGGGCTCCCATCCCACCAACTCAGTAGGCGGCAGGGTTCCCACGTGTTTCCAGACCCTGACTGCTCCATGGAGCACTCAGTCCTGGCTACACCTTCCTGCTGCATCTGGTGTCTTCATTACTGCTGCTCCAACTGGCTGCCACTGCCATCATTAATTTACAAATGCATATACACATTTAAGTTATACATATCTATGTAAATGGCCTTCATCCGTTTGTGCTGCTATTACAAAATACTTAATATGAGACTTGGTTATTTATAAAAAACAGGCATTTATATCTCACTGTTCTGGGGGCTAGGAAGTCCAAGATCAATGTGCCTGCAGGAGATTTGTTTATCTTGTAAAGGCTGCATTATTCTGAGGGGAGAAATGCTGTGCCTTCAAGAGGCAGGTGGAAGAACAAACTAAACTGAATGCTGCATGAAGCCTCATTTATAAGGGCTTTAATCTCATTCACAATGTAGGAGTGCTGTTGGCCTAATCATGTCTTAAAAGCCCCACCTCAGCGGGGCGCAGTGGCTCACGCACTTTGGAAGGCCGAGGCAGGTGGATCACAAGGCCAAGAGATCGAGACCATCCTGGCCAACATGGTGAAATCCCATCTACTAAAAATACAAAAAAAAAAAATTATCTGGGCATGGTGGCATGCACCTGTAGTCCCAGCTACTTGGGAGGCTGAGGCAGGAAAATCACTTGAACCTGGGAGGCAGAGGTTGCAGTGAGCTGAGATCGAGCCACTGCACTCCAGCCTGGTGACAGAAGCGAGACTCTGTCTCAAAACAAAACAAAACAAAACAAAAAAAACAAAAAGCCCCATCTCTTAATACTATCAATTTGGCAACACCTGAATTTTGAAGGGGACACATTCATATAATTAATATAATTATACATACATACATATGGGAAAAGTTCAAGGACAGCCACATACTAAAATGTGAAACAGCTTCGGTCTACATCTACAGAGTTGTATTTCTATATATTTTTATTAGTGATACACAATAAAATTGTTATTGGTTTCTAATTTAAAAGCTACTGATCCAAGACGCAATCCTGAACTTACATCATCTGTGTGACTGTGGTGACTATGCACTTTAGGGCCTCAGTTTCTTTCCTTGCACATAGACACTAATAATAGTGATAAGAATGATAATTACCCAATTGTGTAGATTGAATTAAGACACACACAGAAAACCTCTGGGCAAAAATGCTGGACACATGGGTGTTCAGCATTTTGTCATTGAATTAAAGTAATTACAATTTAATGTTAATGAAACTAAGGATAAAGAGTTACTTTAATATTATTTCAGCTGCTTTTACCTAGAACTGTGCTCATTTCCCTGATCCGTATTCTGCAACCTAAAGCTTCCTGTAATATACTGGCAACTAACCAAATGTGAAGTATAATTCATGAGAAAAATAATTGTCCTCTGCAAATTCAACCCTATCTGGTAGTTAAAATATCACATTATGTCTTCTTTTTTGCACACTTTCTATCAAAAGCATTGCTTCCATTTTACTGTGTTTAACCAAGTGTGGAAATATGAGTAACTATTTTAGCAGTTTTGGTCTTGCTTCATCACTCTGTCAGTTTTTTGTTCCAATCATATGACCTAATGGCAGCTGTCAGGTTAGAAGTGCTGAATGATTTCCCACCATAAAATGCCTTCTTAGAATCCCAAGCTGAAATGCTGTCAGCTGGGCTGATTATGAAACTTTTACAATTTTGACAAGATAAAAACTACATGATTTGTCCAACACAAATATATGAATGAAATAACTGGTTTGGCCAATCAGTTTTTACTCTCTCAGAAAACCTACTAGCCAAATGACAATCCATAGAAAATGAAGGCTAGTGCAGCCTCACGTTATTAATAATAAAATAAATAAAATTGAACATCAAACCAATTTTTATTTACAATGATAATTTAATCTACCATCTCTGAAAAGAGTAATGTAATGACAATATTTAATGTAATGAGCATGTGGTGAAACTGTCATTATGCTGCTATTGAATAATGTAAATTCATAAATTCTTTCTACAAAAAAATTTAGCAACATTTAATGATAGGAATACATACATAGAGAGAGACAGAGAGAGAGAGAAAGAGAGAGAGAAGAGAGAGACAGAGAAAGAATAAACCTCACAACTTATTATAAGGAGTTGTTTCACACAATTATGGGGGTTGAGAATTTCTGCTATCTATCATCTGCAAATTGGAGTCCCAGGAAAGCCAGTGGTTTAAATTCCAGTCTGAGTCTGAATGCTTGTGAAGCAGGATCACTGATAGTGTAAGTCTTAGTCCAAGGGCAGAAGGAGACTGATGTCTCAGGTTATGCATTCCAGCAGAGAGACAGAATTCTGCCTTCTTCCACTTTTTTGTTCTATCCCTGGCCTTCAAAAGATTAAAAGATGCCCACTTACCTTAGGGAGGGCAATCTATTTTACTTACTCCATCAATTAAAATGTTGATATCTCCTAAAAACACCCTCACAGGCACATTCAGAAATAATATTTAAAACAGATATCTGGGCATCTGTAGCCCAATGAAGATGGGCTTAACCATCACATTCCCCTATAAAATGGGCCAACATTTTCCTATAAGATTTCTTTATATCAGTTAAATGCAATAAATTAATATTCCATAATTTGGTAGAAATTAAATACATTCGTCCCTAACCTTGTAGCTTCCAAAAGAACCTTATATCAGATTTACCCTTCTGCCTCTAACAAGTAGAAACTTTGGAAAAGAATCAAATGCACTAACAACTCTTTGAAGACACTGGGAAGCAAACAAAGCAGGCAGAAACTGGAGGTGAAATGGCTCTTGAAACCAGGGGAACACAGAAATATACATTTATCTTACTTTTCCCTTAAAGGAACTCCACAGTCCACAAAGCTAATGGAGGGTAAGAGCTCAAGTAGGAGGACGCTAATTTAATGGGCTGAGGACTAAGAGGTCAGAGTTTCCACATGGTGGAAAATGTCAGGAGAATAATGAAAACTGTCAAAAAAATGTATAAAATTAAAATTCTAAACCTGAAAATATGCAATACCTGAAACCAACATTTTAATGAATGGGTTTAATAGGAAATTAGACAATGCATAGTAAAATATCTGTGTACCGAAGGACAAGGCAATAGAAATTATGCAAATGGATTTACAAATAGACTGAAAATGTGAAAGCGAGCTTTAACAGCATGTGGGAAAGGATTGAGCCATTTGACATATATCTAAATCAAATACTAGATGAACAGCAGAAAATGTCTGAGACAGAGGACAATATTTAAGAAATAGTGGCTAATAATTTTGTAAATTCATGAAAGTATTAAATCCATGAAGCCAAGAACCTCAGCAAACACCAACAGAATTAATACAGAGATAACTGCAGATAGACACTTGATAGCCAAAATGCTGAAATACAAAGATAAAGATAAAATCTTACAATCAGTCATAGTAAAATGACACTCTTCATGTAAGAGAAAAATGAAAAAATGTTAACAAAATTTTAATCAGAAAATTAATAAAAATAGTATTTGTAGATTATGAAATTGCATATATTGTAAAAATGCAAATGAATTATTTCTTTCTTTATATATCCCATTTAATAATTCCCTCGTATACTGAGTGCCTTATTATTTGCCTTGACCAAGTTTGTATAAGCAAATGTCACACATACAGAAGCTTGTAAAAGCACTTGCACATAGGGACTTAAATTCTTGCTATTCTTGGAACACGGCTGCCATGTGTCAAAGCTCAGTGTAGTCTACTGGATGATGTGCTATACGTATGAAGAGATAGATGGCCCAATTGCCCTTGTCATTGCAAGTGAAAAAATATCAACCACCAGATGTGAATAATGCCATCACAGACTATGGAGCCACTAGCTTACCTGTCACAGATCCAAAGATCTAATCAGTCAATATATAGAATCATAAGCCAAATATAGAACATATAGAATCATAAGCTAAATATAGAACATACAGGAATCATAAGCTAAATTGGCACTGATCAGCATGCAGTGTCTGTAAAAGCAATGAAAAATACTGTTGCCAAAGACTGGAAAAAAGGCAAGCACAGCATTAGCAGAGGGTGGAAAACTCAGAAAGAAACTGATACAGTATGCTGGAAACATAACCTGTGTCATATAATAGTGTAAATATATTGGCAAAATTCTTGCCTTCGTGAATTTTGAAGACAGAATATGTATTTAATGTACTTATATATCT
Source organism: Homo sapiens (assembly GCF_000001405.40). NCBI lineage: Eukaryota > Metazoa > Chordata > Mammalia > Primates > Hominidae > Homo > Homo sapiens. The sequence continues at coordinate 38,255,419 of NC_000011.10, forward strand.
TGCTAAGATGATTTTCAGGTAGAATGTTGAAAGTGCCAGAGACAGTACTTGCTAGGTTAGAAAATAAAATGGTTTCTTTTCCCAGGTCTTCCCAATGAGACTGCTTCCTGCCTTAGAAATTTGGAAGCCAAATAGCATTTTGAAAATTTAAAAAGTCTCAGGTTCTTTGCATCAACTGCTAGTGGTGCTCTGCTGATATGTCCCCCTTAAAATACAGGGCTTCTATTTATAAAAAAATAGTTAAGTCCATTTGACAAAAGTTTACCCTATGATTCTCTTTGAGACAAGTATCTCTATGTTAGTCAACATGACAGGCTATTGTGAGAATGCTCTTAATATTCTTAGATGTGTTTTTTGGGTCACTGAGTTTCTACCGTGCATAGCCTTAAATATTTAGAGTTCTTAAGAAAGAATCTTATCTCTACATCCTTCATGTGATCTTTGGGATTAGATTTCTTTCCATTTTGAAACTCTTAAATACCAGTGTTCATTTTCAACACTTGTTAATTTAGGACCTTTTATTGCTTGGAAGCTTTGTTCCTTTGGAGGAGGAGGGTATTTAGAAACCAGTACCTACATGCTGTATATGCTCATTGCAGCTAGTGTGTCATTTCTTCAGAGCTTTTTCAGTAGTAGAACAATTCAATTTGTATTTCAGAAACATTACACTAGCAGTACTGTCCTGGGCATACAGAATGCACAGAGTATGTCAATTACATAAAAATAATTATGACCAAAACAAAAGTCTTCTTGTACTAAGTTCCACATATCTGCCATGTGTACCTGTGAACTGGACATAGTTTATACATATTTAAATTTCCTCAGTATGAATAAATGTTTAAAAATAATATGGTATTGAAGTAGGTGGAGGATAATGATAGAAAAATAGAAATAAAAGTAAGGCAGTATGACCCTGGGGTCTACTCAAATGTCTTTACAGAAATCAAATTATCAAGGAGGAAATTCTACAAAAGCAGCTGTAGGATTTAAATGACTAATTGAAAATAAAGGGGCCATTTCAACAGCAAAACTGTAACCAAAAGTGTTTGTGCTATCTTTGAAAATAGAGGCATCATGTAAATCACACACACACACACACACACAGAAACACACACACACTCTACTTTTTATGAATTGGAGGAGTTATGAATAGCTCTACATGCAAAACAACAAGGTGGATAGCTAGGTCAAAGCTGATAATCCCCTGTGGAATGCTAAGAAAATAGTTTTCAGGTAACATTCTGCCTATTGAGTTGGTTGCTAATGCAAATTTGTCCTGCAGAATCAGTTGTTGAATGTCAAAAAGCTAACATGGTAAAACACAGCTGCTTTTTTTACCTTTTGTAATTGAGATTGTTTGTAGACTTCCCTAAATTATATGGCAGACAATAAAAATTGATTCTAAGTAAAGTCATTATCCTTTTAAATGAGTTACATAGCTCAGACATTAAGATATTTGCGAGACAAAGTGATTTCCAAAAAGTATTGATTTTTAACTAAATAAAGCTAAAGGAGAATCAGCATATAACTTCAAAATTGCAATATGCTATCATCTCTGTAGAAATGAGTAAGTTCAAAATGTATATAAAATTTTCTTCTTTATAATTATTTTTGCTAATTATTGAGCACTTTAAAAAATTGCCATAATATAAAATAACGTATACTTACTAATCCATGCTAAGAAATGTAACCATGTAATGTATTTACCTACAGATAAAGTCATCTTGATTTGTGTATATATTATACATAAATAATAAATGTTATACAAATGAGCACAACTAGACTTTCAAGGAACACGTAATTCCATTGATGCATATGCTATTTCTTAGTGGGTTGCCTCCTTTCTAATCCCTTTGTTGAGCTGCAAACAAACCTTCCCACCACCTGTGCAAACTTTTCCATGGAGAGAAGATAGATAATAGAAAGACAGACAAACAGATAGTTAGATAGATAGATGATAGGTAGATGATTGATTAGATAGTTAGATAGATAGATGATAGGTAGATGATTGATTAGATAGATAGATAGATAGATAGATAGACAGATAGATAGATGATAGGTAGGATTGATTCACCTCTGCTTCAGAGACACTATTTTTATCTTCCAAGGCAAATATCCTTGAAAAGATAGTCCAGAACAAACAACTGTCAGTACCTCTGATTGCTAGAAATACAGAAATGAAAGCTATCCATGAGAATTGCCTCCCAACATGTTAGGAAGGACTTTCAAAGTGGTGATGACTGGTTTCACTATAATATCAAACAAGAGGTTCTTTTACAGAAATTCTCTTCATCTAAAATAAAAAATTTGCTCAAATATTATTTTTCCTTTCTAGAATTATTTTTTAATGTTGAGGCCATTAATCTTATTTGAAATATAGCCTAATGCTATATCAGATTAATACAAAATTAAATTAACTTAAAAATAATACAATTTTTTCTGAGAATCTTCTTAAAAATTATTTCTGTATTTTAAATAATGCATAATTGTACATATTTATAGCATACAGTGTGATGTTTCAATATATGTATACATTGTGTAATAATCAAATCAGGATGTTTAGTATATCCATCACCTCAAACATTTATTATTTCTTTGTGGTGAGAACACTCAAATTCTCTCTCCTGGCTACTTTGAAATATATAATATAATATTGTTAACTATAGTCACCCCACTGTGTAGTAGAACACTAAAATATTTTCCTCCTAATTTTAATTTTGTACCCGTTGACCAATCTCTCCCTATGTGTGCCTCTTTTCTTCCCTTTCCAGGCTCTGCTAATCACTATTCTAACTCTACTCTATGAGATTAATTTCTTTAGATTCCACACAAGAATGAGATCGTGCGTTTTTGGTTTTGCTGTGCCTGGCTTATTTATTTAACATAACATCCTCCAGGTTCATTCATGTTGCAAATATGACGAGATTTCATTTTTTATGGCTAAACAGTACTCCCTTGTGTATATTCACCATATTTTTGTTATCCATTTATCTGTTGATGGACACTTAGGTTTAGTCCATATCTTGGCTATTGCAAATACAACCACAAGAAACATGGGGTGGAAGACATCTCTTTTACATACTAATTGTATTTCCTTTGGATATATACCCAGTAATGGAATTGCTAGATCATATGTTAGTTCTATTATTAGTTTTTTGAGCAACTACTGTTTTTCAAAATGATGGTAGTAACTTACAGTCCTGCCAAGAGTATTGTAGTGTTCCTCTTTCTCCACATTCATGCCAGCATTTGTTTTTGTGTATATTTTTCTATCCTTTTAACAATAGTTATTCTAATTAGGGTGAGGTGCTATCACACTGTGGTTTTAATTAGCATTTTCCCAATGACTAGTGATGTCATGCATTTTTTCATGTACCTGTTTGTTGGCCATTTGTATTTCTTCTTTTGAGAAATGTCTATTCAGTTCTTTGGAACATTTTTAAATTGGATTCTTTGTTTTTGCTATTGAGTTATTTCAGTTCCTTATATATTTGGGGTTAATAAGCATAGCTTGCAAATATTTTCTTCTATTCTACAGTTTATATATTCATTCTACTGACTGTTTCCTTTGCTGTACAGAAGCTTTCTTAGTTTGATGTAATTTTATTTGTCTAATTTTGTTTTTGTTGTCTGTGGTTTTGAAATCTTATCTGAAAAAGTCATTGCACAGAGCAATGCCATTAAGCATTTCCCCTATGATTTCTTCAAGAGGTTTTATTATTTTGGATCTTACATTTAAGTCTTTAATCTGCTTTGAGTTTTTTTTTTTGTATATGGCTAGAGATGGGGTCTAGCTTAATCACACAGCATGTGAATATACAGTTCTTCTAGCATCCTTTAATGAAGAGACTGACAATTTCCCAATGTGTATTATTAACACCTTTGTTGAGAATCAGGTGACTTTAAGTGTATGGATTTATTTCTGTGACACAATGTTTCATTGGCCCATGTGTCTGTATGCCAGTATCATGCTCTTTGGTTACTATGGCTTTGTAGTATATTTTGAAGTCAGTTAGAGTGACACCACCAGTTCTGTTCTTTCTGCTCAAAATGTATTTGGCTATTTGGAGTCTTTTGTGGATCTACACAAATTTTAAGGTGTTTTTTTTCCTATATCTTTGAAGAATATCCCTGATATTTTGGTAGGGATTACATTGAATTTGTAGCCTTATTGGGTAATATGAACATTTTAATAATGATAATTCTTCCAATCAATGAACATGAGCTATCTTTCCATTTATTTGTGTTTTCTTCAATGTCTTTCACTATGTTTTATAGGTTTCATTGTAGACATCTCTTACTCTCTTGGTTAAATTTATTCTTAGGCATCTTACTTTTTTTTCTATTGTAAATAAGATTGCTTTCTTGATTTCTTTTTCTGATAGTTTGTTTTCAGTATGTAGAAATGCTACTGATTTTTGTATGTTAATTTCATACCCCATAAGTTTACTAGATATACTCAGTTATAGAAGTTACTTTGTGGAGTTTTTAATGTTTTCAGATATAAGATTATGTCATCTAAAATAGAGATAACTTGACTTCCTCCTTTTAAATTTAGATGGCATTTATTTACTTTTTTGCCTAATTTTTCTGGCTAGGATTTCCAGTACTATCTTGAATTAAAGCGGTAGAAGTGGACATTCTTGTCTTGTTCCAGACCTTAAAAAAAATGTTTTTAACTTTTCCCCATTCAGCGCTGGGTTTGTCATATATGGCTTTCCATGTATTGAGGTTCATTCCTTCTATACCTTGTTTGATGAAAGTTTTTATCATGAATGGATGCTGAAATTTATTAATTGATTTTTCTGTATCTATTGATATGATTTTTGCCCTTAATTAGATTAATGTGATGTGTTACATGTATTGATTTGCATATGATGAACTATTCTTATATCCCTGGGATGAATTTCACATAATCATGGTAAATGATCTTTTTAATGTGCTATTGAATGTGGTTTGCTAGTGTACTGTGGAGGATTTCGGCAAATAATTCATTGGAAATATTGAGCTGAAGTTTTGTTGTTGTTGTTGTTGTTGTTGTGGTCTTCTCTGGTTTTGATATCAAGATAATTTTGGCTCCATAAATGAGTTTGGAAGAATTCTCTTCTCTTCAATTTTTTATAACAGTTTGATAAATACAGATATTCATTATTCTCTAAGTGTCTGGTACAATTCAGAAGTAAAGCCCTCAGGTCCTGAGCTTTTCTTTGGTGAAAGACTTTTTATTATTGATTTAATTTAATTACTTATTACTGGTCTGTTCAGCATTTCTAATTCTTCATGATTCAATTTAGTGGGTTGTATACGTCTGGGAATTTATCCATTTCTTCTAGGTTCTCAATTTGTTGGCATATAGTTGTTCATAATAGTGTCCTACAATCCTTTGTAATTCTGTGATACCAGATGTAATATAACCATTTTCATTCTTATTTTTAAAATTTTTTTAGATGGAGTTTCACTCTTGTTGCCCAGGGTGGAGTGCAATGGCACAATATTGGCTCACTACGACTTCCGCCTCCCAGGTTCAAGCGATTCTCCTCCCTCAGCCTCCCAAGTAGCTGGGAATACAGGCCACCACATGTGCTGCCATGCCCGGCTAATTTTGTATTTTTAGTAGAAACTGGGTTTCTCCATGTTGGTCAGGCTGGTCTTGAACTCCCGATCTGAGGTGATCTGCCCACCTTGGCATCCCAAAGTGCTAGAATTACAGGTGTGAGCCACCGTGTCCAGCCTTCATTCTGATTTTATTTGTGTCTTCTTTTTTTCCAGTAGTCTAGCTAAAGGTTTGTCAATTTTATCTTTTCAAAAAGTAGCTCTTTGTTTTGTTGATTTCTTAGTTTTGTTTCTTTAGTTTATGTTTTTTTATGCTCTGGTATTATTTCTTCTATTTGTGTTTAGTTTGTTCTTTTTTGTTAGTTCCTTGAGGTGCAATATTAGGTATTTTATTTGAGATCCTTCTTCTTTTGTAGACATTTATTGCTTGATATTATTTGGATCTTTGTCCCTTCCAAATCTCATGTAAAAATTTGATCCCCAATGTTGAAGATGGGACCCAGCAAGAGGTGATGTGTCTTGGGGACAGGTCTCTCATGAAAAGGTTGGTGCTATTCTCCTAAGATTGAGTGAGTTTTTACTCTTAGTTCCCTTGAGATTTAGCTGTTAAAAAGGGTCTGGCACTTTCATATTCTCTCTCTTCCTGCCTTGCCATGTGATATGCAGCTCCTTATGCATCTCCTTTTCATTTTTCACCATTAGTGGAAGTGCCCTGAATTCCTCACCATAAGCAGATGCTGATGCCATGGTTTTTGTACATCCCACAGAACAATGAGTTAAATGAAACTTTTTTCTTTATAAATAATTCACCCTACAGTATTCCTTTATAGCAAAGCAAATGGACTAAGGCATTGCCGTAAACTTTCCTCTAAGAACTGCTTTTGCTGTATCTCATAGGTTTTGTTATGTTGTATTACCATTTTTATTTGTCTCAAAAAACTGTATTTTTATGCCCATTAATCATTGCCTCTTCCCCTTTTTATCACCTACCTCCCCACTACCCTTTCTAGCCTCCGGTAATCATTATTCTACTTTCTAACTTCATGAGTTAAATTTTTTTGTTTGCACATATGAGTGAGAATATGTGATACTTGTCTTTCAGTGCCTGGCTTATTTCACTTAAATAATGTCCTCTGATTCCATCTATTCTGTTGCAAATGACAGAATCTCATTGTTTTTTATAGCAGTATAATATTTTATTAGGTATATGTACCACATTTTCTTAATTCATTTATTCATTAACATACACTTAAGTTGATTCCATATCTTGTTAATGGCGCTGAAATAAACACGGGAGTACTGATATCTCTTTGATATATTGATTTCCTTTCTTTTGGATATATACCCAGCATTGATATTTCTAGATCATATGGTAGTTTGATTTTTTTGTTTTTGAAAACCTACATGCTCTTCTCCATAGTGGCTGTACTAGTTTATATTCCTACCTACAGTATATGAGGGGTCCCTTTTCTTCGCATCCTCATCAGCCTCTGTTATTCCCTGTCTTTTGGACAAAAGCCATTTTAATTTGGACAAGATGATATCTCACCGTGGTTTTAATTTTCATTTCTCTAATAATTAGTGATGTTGAGCATTTGTATATATCTGTTTGCTATTTGCATGTTTTCTTTTGAAAAATGTGTTTTTAGAGCTTTTGTCCATTTTTAATTAACTTATTTTTTCTATTGAGTTGTTCAAACTTCTTATATATTGTGGTTCTTAATCCCTTTTCAGATAGGTAGTTTGGAAATATTTTCTCTCATTTGGAGGTTTGTCTCTTCTCCTTATTGATTGTGTCCTTTGCTGTGCAGTTTTCTAGCTTGATATGATCCCATTTGTTCATTTTTGCTTTGGTTGCATGTGTTTTTGAGTTCTTATTAAATGAATCTTTGCCCAGACCAATGTCCTGGAATGTTTCTCAAACTCCATGTCTTTTAATTGGAGAATTTAATCCAATTATATTTAGGGTAATTATTAGTAGGTAAGGACTTACTACTGCCATTTTGTTTATTCTTTTCTAGTTGTTTTACAGATTCTTTCTTCTTTACTTTGCTCTTACTATCTACCTTTGAGATTAAATGATTTTCTCTAGTAGTATGCTTTAATTTGTTTCTTTTCAAGTGCATCTTTTATAGCCTTTTTTTGGTGGGTTACCATAAGGTTTTCAAAAAGTAAGTTACAGTTATAGCAGGTTATTTTAACTGACAAGAACTTAACTTTGATTACAAAAAATAAGAAAAAAATGATTGGGAAAAAAGTCTACTCTATCTTTTCTTCCTGTCTACATTTTGCATTTTTAATGTCACAATTTATATCTTTTTATATTGTATATTTCCTAACAAATTATTGTAATTATTTTAATGGTTTTGTATTTTAAACTGAAAAGTCTTCATTTCTCCATTTCTGAAGAACAGATTTGCTGGATATAGTAATATTCTTTATTGGTAGTTTTGTGCTTTTTTATTTTCTAGACTGAATATGTTTTCCTACTCTCTCCTTATCCGTAGAATTTCTGCTGAGAATTCTGATGTTAGATGTATTGGTACCATCTTATATGTTATTTGTTTGTTTTCTCTTGCTGTTTTCAGGATTGACTTTTCATCTTTCATCTTTAACAGTTTAATTATAATACATCAAGGGGAAGTTTTATTTGATTGGAATCTAATTAGAGACATAGGCTTCCTGTATCTGGATATTTATATCTTCCTCTAGGTTTGGGAATTTTTTCCTTTATTATTTCTTGAAATAAATTTTCTATCCTTTTTCCTTTTTCAACACACTCTTGAACATCAATTACTTATTCATTTGCACTTTTGACTTTGTCTCATAAATCTCATAAGTTTTTTTCATTACTTTGTATTCATTTTTCTTTTTTCTCCTTTGAGTGTATATTTTCAATTAACCTACCTTCAAGTTCACAGATTGTTTCCTCTACTTGATCAATTCTGTTGTTTATGCTCTCTTTTGAAATTTATTTTATTGTATTTTTCAGTTCCAGGATTTCTGTTTAATTTTTTTTTAAAATATGTCAATCTTTCTGTTAAATTTATCTGATAAATATCTCAAATATTTCCTTGTATTTTGAATGAAATTTGCTGGGCCTCCTTAAAGCTGCTATTTTGAATTATTCATCAAGATGCTCTCTCACTGCCCATTCAGGGTCAGTCACTGACAACTTCTTTTGTCTACTTAGTGACATCATGTTTTTAAAATTAATCTGGATCATTGTGGCAGTGTGTCAATGTCTGCACATTGACATAGGCACCTAATCCAGTCTTCCTACTCTGGCTTTGTTGGGATCTTTCTTCAGCAGTAAACCTGTTCAGACATTTCATGCAAGTTGGTTGATTAGGCATTCAAGCCTGCAAATTGCTTCAGCCATTGCAGCAGTAGGGGATGTCCTAAGCTGAGGACTACTGCGCTGGAATCCTTTGGCCACTGAGGCTGACAAAGCACTGGGTTAGACACAAAGTTTATGACTACAGAGAACAACGTAGCACTGTGGCACACCTAAGGCCTGCAGCTGCTGCAGCCTGTTCTCTACCATGGCTTATGCAAGGCTTTAGGTTGCTGTAGTTAACCAGCAGTGATGTGTGATAGATCTCCAGTCCATCTAGCCAGGGCCATGGATTCCTGTTTGGTATTAGGCCAGGTCAAGATCCCCCAAATGTGGATACCTTCTGGTGTCAGGGGCCGTGGAATCTGCTCATTGCTGGGTTTCAGTGGGGTGGGTACAGTACTTAGTTGCAAGGCAAAGTCCTATACTTACTTTATTTTGCTTCCTTTAAGCAAATGGTATCTTCCTTTGTGCTATGCTGCCTATGGTTGTGGAAGAAGTGATATGGTTAATGTAAAACTCTTCTTTAGACCCTCTTTAATGAATCTTTTCTTATTATGCTAACTCCAGGAAATGGGATCTCTCACTGGGTTTTTTGGAGCTCTTGTGAAGGTATTTTATGAATGGTTATTCAAATTGATGTTATTTGTTTGTTTTATCTTGTTGTTTTCAGGACTGACTTTTTGTTTTGATCTTTAACAGTTTATTTATAATATATCAAGAGGTAGTTTTATTTGGTTTGAACCTAGGCCTTCTTTGGGGGAGCAATCTTTGGAGTGTTCTCCTCTAACATATTGCCCCTCCTCTTTATCTTCTTCTTTTTTTTTAAGTATGTACTTTTGCTGGCAAATAGGCAATTTAACCCAAAGCATGGCTTAACTCTGAAGACCTCTGAGCATAATCTAGAAATGAAGGAATTAAGGGACTAGAGGCACACACTGGGTAAGAAGATATGGAGACTAATGCCAAACTGCAAAGATGCATGACAACAACCTTACTTTATTCAGATAAAATTATGAAATGTTTAGCCTAAGTTGCTATACATATTATTTTCCATCAGGTTGTTAAGGAGCATTAGGCGAAGTTACCTATGTCAAATTTAGCTTGGTTAAAACAGCCTTAGCCATTCAATTCAAATGCTCAGAGTTGGAGCCAAAATAAAATTAGACAATTTCTTCTTGACCTAAGTTTTAATTATATAAAACTATTAAAAAAAGAAGAATTTAAGCCTAGTTCAAGTAGAAAATAACAAAATACTTAATAGGAGCAGACATCAATAAAATTGAATTCAAAAAAAATCATAAAGAACATTAACAAAACCTAAAACGGTTATTGAAAAAGATGAATAAAATTGGTATATCTATACAGAAATTAATCAATTTGACAAAAAGAAGAGAGAAGAAACAAATTGTCTACATCAAAACAAAGAAGGGACATCACTATTGATCCTGTGGACTTTAAAAGGTTAAGAAAGGAATGATTTCCACAAATATATGCCCATATATTTGTAATGTAGATGAAATAAAAATTCTTGAAGGACACAAACTATAAAAACTCACACAAGGAAACATCAATAACCAGGAAGATCTATATGTATTATAGCAATTGAATGAATAATTATAACTCTCCAATAAATAAAACAACAACTCCAAATTTCAGTGGTAAATTCTACAAAATATTTAAATAAGAAATGATACCTATTCTCCAAATTAACTCCCAAAACACACAAGCAGAAATAGCACTTTCTACTTATTCTTATAAGGCCAGCATTATCCTATCCAAAACTAGATAAAGGTATTACAAAAGAGGAAATCTATAGTGCAATGGCTCTAATAAATATATATGCAAAAATGTTCAACCAATATTAACATATCAATCATAATATATCATATCAAAAAATCTATAGAAAATTTGTATACCACAAACAAGTTGGATTTATTTCATTTATGTAAGGTAGGTTTCATATTCAAAAATTAATTGATGTAGCCTACCATTTCAAAGGGATAAAGAAAAAAAATTATATGATTATATAAATTCATGCAGAAAAAGCACTTTAAAATATCATCCATAGTTGATTAAAACCCTCGGCAAATTAGGGATAGAAACAAGCTTTTTCTACTTGATAAAGAACCTCTTAAGAAAAAAAAAGCAAGAAGCCAACAGCTAACATAATAATTAATTTTGAGACATTGTATGCTTTTCTCCTATTCAATATCATACTTGAAGTCCTAGATCAGCAGTCCTTAACCTTTTGGCACCAAGGACTGATCTTGTGGAAGACAGTTTTTCCACAGACAGTGCTGGGGGAAATGCTTTGGGGATGAAACTGTTCCACCTCAGATCATCAGGTGTTAGATTCTCATAAGGAGTGCAAAACCTCATGATATGGTTTAGCACTGTGTCGCCACCCAAATCTCAATTCAAATTGTAATCACCACATGTTAAGGGAGAGACCTGGTAGGAGGTGATTGGATCATGGGGGTAGATTTCCTCATGCTATTCTCCTAATAGTGAGGGAGTTCTCACAAGATCTCATGGTTTAAAAGTAGCAGTTTCCCCTGCATCCTCTCTCTCTCCTGCTGCCTTGTAAGACGTGCCTTGCTTCTGCTTTGCCTTTTGCCATGATTGTAAATTTCCTGAGGCCTCCCCAGCAATGCAGAACTGTGAATTACTTAAACCTTTTTTGTTTATAAACTACCCAGTCTCAGGTAGTATCTTTATAACAGTGTGAGAGCGGACTAAAACAGCTCACATGTGCAGTTCACAATAGGGTTTGTGCTTCTATGAGAATCTAATGCCACCACTAATCTGACAGGAGGCAGAGATCAAGCAGTAATGCTCGCTCACCCACAACTCACCTCCTGCTGTGTGGTCATGTTCCTAACAGGCCACAGATCATTACCATCTTGGGAACCCCTGTCCTTGATTATGCAAGAAGACTAAAAAAGCAAATATATGCATATTGGAATGGAAGAAATAAAACAATCTCTGTTCACAGATGACATGACGTCTATGAAGGGAATGCAAAATGTTACAGCCATTTTAGAAGAAAGTTTTGCAGTTTCTTACAAAGCTAAACACAGTCCTACCATACAATCCAGCAGTCATACTATAGGCATTACCCAATTTATTTGAAAACTTATGTTCATGCAAAAACCTACACATGAATATATACCAGCTTTATTCATAGTTGCACCAAACTGGAAGCAACTATATGTCCTTCAATAGGTTAATAAATCAATAAATACCCTTTTAAAACCCTGGTAGCTCTATAGAATGGCAAGTCCTGAATGTAGAATTATTTTCTCATAAATCATTGTCTCCTCAGTTTACTTTTTCATTGAGAGATCTATAAAAGAACAATATATAACCCACCAGAGTATGTTGAAATTTAATATGACATACAAAGGTCTCTGTTTTGTATATATGCATGCCTATATAGATTATCTTTCTAGAAAGGATATATCTCTGGTTTCTCATACCTGGAGATCCCCCCTGACACACACACACGTATACATTTATGACAAAGGCTCACTGAACAGAACAAAAACATAAATCTCAGCAAGCATTGGAGCCATGGTATTTCTTGTTTTCACTTAGTGTTTCTCTCTTTTTATTTATTTAATTTAATTTAATTTAATTTATCTCTTTGAGATGGAGTCTTGCTCTGTAACCCAGGCTGGAGTGCAGTGGCACTACCTTGGCTCACTGCAAGCTCCGCCTCCCAGGTTCACACCACTCTCCTGCCTCAGCCTCCTGAGTAGCTGGGACTACAGATGCCCACCACCACACCCAGCTATTTTTTTTTTTTTTTGTATTTTTAGTGGAGACGGGGTTTCACCGTGTGTTAGCCAAGATGGTCTCAATCTGACCTTGTGATCCACCCACCTTGGCCTCCCAAAGTGCTGGGATTACAGGCCTCTCTTTTTATTTTTGAAACTAATATAACAAGATAGCTTTCAACAGAGAGAATTCAGAAGCCCAATACCATCTCAACAGGATTCTGAAAAATAGCTCAAAAACCTTGAATACTTATGTTAAATTCATTTTACATCTAAATCATAAGAAGACTGAAACAGATCACATCTAAGTACCAGTCTTTTATATGTCACTGGTTCCAATAAATATTTAGTGTAGACAGCCCAAAAAGAAAAGAAACGGCTTTTCCAAAATAACAATATTATCTATTATTGTTTCTTAAATTGCATGACCCATTAGTTTAGAAATGACTCCAATTTGAAGGCATTACTGAGTATGTAACAGTTTGGAGTATTGTATTGTGAGGTAAGTTATCAGTGTTCCACAGAGATTCCAGGGTAACATGGAAAGCAAAGTCCTCTTCATATTTATTTAGATTATGGGACATCCCCTTTTCTTCAGGCATAGAAGAGCAGAAACATTTGCTGTCCAATTGCATTAGTTCATTCTCACACACTAAAAAGAACTGTGACTGGCTAATTTTGAAGAAAAGAGGTTTAATTGACTCACAGTTCCATAGGCTGTACAGGAAGCATGGCTGGACAGACCTCAGGAAATTTAGGATTAAGGTAGAAGGCGAAGTGGAAGCAAGTACCTCTTATCATGGTGAAGTAGGAGACAGAGAAAAAGGGAAAGTGTGACACACTTGTAAAGGATCAGATATCATGAGAACTCACTCACTATAATGAGAACAGCAAGGGGAAAATCTTCTCCCATGATCCAATCACCTCCCACCATGCCCTTCCTCCAACACTGATGATCATAGTTCAACATGAGATTTGGCTGGGGCCACAGAGCCAAACAATATCACTCTGCCACTGACCCCTTCCAAATCTCACATCCTTTGCAAATTTCAAAACACAATCATGTCTTTCCAACAATCCCCCAAACTCTTATCTCATTCCAGCATTAGCTCAAAAGTCCAAATCTACAGTCTCATCTGAGACAAGGCTAGTTGCTTCCGCCTATGAGCCTGTAAAATCAAAAAACAAGTTAGTTACTTCCAAGATACAATGGGGGTACAGGCATTGGGTAAATGCTCCTATTCCAAAACGGAGCAAATGGCCAAAACAAAGGGGATATAGGCCTCATGTAAGTCTGAAATCCAGCAGGGCAGTCATTAAATCTTAAAGCTCCAAAATGATTTCTTTTGACTCCATGTTTTACATCCAGGGCACACTGATGCAAGGGGTGGGCACCTAAGACCTTAGGCAGATCTGCCTCTATGGCTTTGCAGGTTACAGCCCCCATGGCTGCACTCATGGGCTGGCATTGAGTGCTGGGGACTTTTCCAGGGACATGGTACAAACCGCTGGTGGATTTACTATTCTGGGATCTGGAGGATGGTGGCCCTGATCTCAATGCTCCACTAGACCGTGCCCCAGTGGGGACTCTGTGGGGCTCCAACCCCACATTTCTACTCTGCACTGCCCTAGTAGATGTTCTCAATGTGGGCTCCACTCCTGCAGCAGAGTTTTGCTTAGACATCCAGGGATTTCCTGCATCCTCTGAATTGTAGGTGGAGGCTCCCAGACCTCAACGTTTGCCTTCTATGTACCTTCAGGCCAAACACCATGTGGAAGCCACCAAGGCTTGGGGCTTGTACCCTCTGAAGCAATGGCCAGAGCTGGGCCTTGGCCACTTACACATGGCTTAAGCTGGAGTGGCTGGGATGCAGGGTACCATGTCCCAAGGCTGCACAGAGCAGCAGGGCCCTGGGCCTAGCCCAGAGAACGATTTTTCTCTCCTAGCTCTCCAGGCCTGTCATGGGAGGGGCTGCCACAGCGAAGGTCTCAGAAATGCCCTGGAGGCAGTTTTTTCTATTATCATGGCTATTAATATTTGGCTCTTTTTTACTGGAGTGTTGAATTCCTCCCCAGAATTTTTTTTTTCTTTTCTACCTCATGGTCAGACTGCAAATTTACCAGACTTTAATGTTTTGCTTCACTTTACACATAAATTCTGGTTTCAGGTCATTTATTTCTTTATGCAAGTGAACATAAGGCTTTTAGAAGCAGCCAGGCAACCTCTCAAATGCTTTGCTGCTTAGAAATTTTTTCTGCCAGATACTCTAAATCATCTATCTCAAGTTCAAATTCCACAGATCTCTACAGCTGGGGCATATGCTTCCAGTCTCTTTGCTAAAGCATAACAAGAGTGACCTTTACTCCTGATCCCAATAAGTTTCTCATCTCCATCTGAGGCCACCTCAGCCTGGACTTCACTGTCAATATGATTATCAGCATTTTCATCAGAACCATTCAACAAGTCTCTAAGCAGTTCCAAACTTTCCCACATCTTCCTGTCGTCTTCTGATCCCTCCAAACTGTTTTAACCTCTGCCCATTATCAAGTTTAAAAGTAGTTTTAAGGTATTCTTGCAGCAATGCCCCCACTTCTGTGGTGCCAATTTTATCTATTAGTCTGTTCTCATACTGCTATAAAGAACTACCTGAGACTGGGTAATTTATGAAGAAACATGGCTTAGTTGATTCACAGTTCCACAAGCTGCACAGGAAGCATGGCTGGGAGGCCTCAGGAAACTTACAATCATGGTGGAAGGTGAAGGGGGAACAAGCATGTCTTAGCATGATGTAGTAGGAGAGAGAGAGCAAAGAGGAAAGTGCCACAAACTTTTCAACCATCAGATCTTCTGAGAATTTATTCACTATCATGAGAACAGCAAGGGGAAAATCCACTCCCATGATTCAATCACCTCTCACAGCGTCCCTCCTCCAACACTGAAGATCATAGTTCAACATGAGATTTGGATGGGGACACAGAGCCAATCCATATCACCATGTTTTTCTGACATGTAATATTCTTTGTGACATGCTTAGTGTATTAGTCCATTCTAGTGCTGCTATAAAGAACTGTCTAAGCCTAGGTAATTTATAAAGAAAAGAGGTTTAATTGACTCACAATTCCACATAGCTGGGGAGGCCTCAGGAAACTTACAATCATGGTGTAAGGGGAAGCAAACACATCCTTCTTCACATGGCATCAGGAGAGAGAAGGAGTGCCACCAGGGGAAATGCCAGATACTTATAAAACCATCAGAATTCATGAGAACTAATTTACTATCAGAGAACCGCATGGGGGAAAATGCCCCCATGATTCAATTACCTCCACCTGGTCCTTCCCTTGACACAAGGAAATTCTTACAATTCAAGGTGAGATTTGGGTGGGAAAACAGAGCCAAAAAATATCATTTAGCAAGAAAAACTTGAGGTCCTGACTATCTTAAGCTTTCCGAAGCTCAAATCAACAACTTACAATTGATGGTCTCAGATTGCCTAAAATTATACTATCAGAAGGAAATGTAGACCAGTATTAATTTCATAAAAGATCAAGCATGAGAGATATGAGTAATAAATACAAGGAACTAAGATAAGAATTTAATTTAATTAGAAGGAAACATGTAAATTCTATAGGCAGGTACATGTAATGAGACACAACATACTCCTCAGGTAATACTTAGGTCACTAGTTGTAAATGTTAAAAGTGTGTTAAAATATTTTATTGTTTGCACTTAGTTTAGTGTTTGATTATCTCTTATCATTATGTATCAATATACCTTACTGCTTGGAACAAACAGAATCATAGAATATACATGGTTTTAGGATATAGATTGTGAAACTTGCTGAAAGTAATGTAGAAGACCCACAAATGGAATTAACGTGACCTTATATACATTGAAGCCCAACAATCAAAACCTTTTCTCTTTACAATATCTCTGGATATCCACTCTTTCCCAAAATATTTCTCAAGGGTGGGTATTCTTTAAAACTCCTTGAAATTATTTGAGTCTTTCCCCCTAAATTCTCTTAAGGCAGAGAGAAAACCAAGGTCTAATTTATAACTCTGAAGACCAGGACCTAATTTATATCTCTGAAGTTAAGTGGAAATTTTAAGATACAGCAGTCTCAGGTCACTGGTGACTGAATGAAAGTTCCTCCCTTATATTTTAGAAACAAACATTATATTACAGTCATATTTAGCCCAGCTGGGGAAGCCTAATGTAGCTTGAAATAAGTTTTGTTATGATGAAGTAGTGATTTTGAGTTGAAATGCCTGATCTTGTGGGCCATGGCTGTTTATAGAGCCTAGCACCATCATGGGAAAAGAAATTTGAAATAAAGGCATGCGTTGTAAGGGATTATAAATACTGCTTCAGCTGCACCCACAAGGTTTTGGTTTAATTTGTTTCGGGCTCTGTTCTTGTCCAGCACTTTCTCTTTCTCCTGTACTACTAACTTGAGCCTCCTTGGTTTCCATAGTGATGCCCCCAGGGACACTCTCTTTGACTTTTCTATTTGGCTTACTATTGTTGATTTCTGGTCTTACGGTGCATCATAAACCCATTTTCTGCTGCATATCACTGAAAGGTGTTAGAGAATCAATTGGAAGAATCAGTTTGTCAGTCTTCTCTATTTCCCAAACCGGATAAGGCTTGAGCTTCTAAAATATACCAATTCTTCTAAAAGCATCAGGATAAATCCTTAAGAGCAGGCTGTTTCACATATTTTCCAATAAATGCTAAAATAAAAAGACATTTATTTATCCAGACATTGTTCAAATACCTCAAAAGCAAAACCAATCAATCCGTAGTGATTAGCTAAACTTTTTGATTAGTGATTACTGAGGAGCTCATTATATAATTTAAAATACTAATTTTCTTTCATTAAATAATATAATTAATACATTTTAGAGAAAAAAAGACATCACAAAAACCATCGTGTTAGGCACTGTGGGGAATGGCATGGGGTGGAATGAAAGTTTAACAGTCACGGCTCTAGTCCCCTGATTTAGTCAGAAGTGATGTGATCTAGGGCAAATTACTTAATCCCTTTGAGTAAATACATTCGCAAAACCATTTAAATGAGTGTTCTAAGTACATTGCAAGCATTAAACAGATATCATTTTCCCTATTTTTAAATAAGGAAGCTGAGTCACAGAGTCTAAGTGACATATCCAGGATCAGACAATTGATGGAAAGCTTAATTCTAATAATGAAATGAGCTTTTAAACAAGTTCAACCTCACAGTCACCCTCTTAACCATTACAGTCATATGTTATTTGAATGGAATAACCAAGGCGTATAGAAAAGGAGACTGAGTTTAAATAAGTAACTCTGAGGGACACAT
Organism: Homo sapiens; assembly: GCF_000001405.40. Lineage (NCBI taxonomy): Eukaryota > Metazoa > Chordata > Mammalia > Primates > Hominidae > Homo > Homo sapiens. Next base: position 38,273,433 of record NC_000011.10, read on the forward strand.
AGTAGTTGGTGATTTTTTTTTTTTTTTTTTTCTTGACAGAGTCTCGCTCTGTCCCCCAGGCTGGAGTGCAGGGACGCAATCTCGGCTCACTGCAAGCTCCGCCTCTCGGGTTCACACAATTCTCCTGCTTCAGCCTCCAGAGTAGCTAGGACTAAAGGCACCCGCCACCAGGCCCGGCTAATTTTTTGTATTTTTGGTAGAGACAGGGTTTCACCGTGTTAGCTGGGGTTTCACCGTGTTAGCCAGGATGGTCTAGATCTCCTGACCTCGTGATCCACCCGCCCAGGCCTCCCAAAGTGCTAGGATTACAGGCATGAGCCACAGCGCCCGGCCAGTAGTTGGTGATATTTTTCAGATCTACACTTTGTATTCATTTCTCAAATACACAGTACTATAAGAATATTTACATTTTAATATTCAATTATACTTGTTCTTTAAGAAAGTGAAAAGAAAAACTTCACAATTAAATTCTTACAAAAAATTGATGCAAATTTTGTAAATGTACACAAGATTTTTTTCTAACAACTTGAAAGTATTTAAAGAGGAAATTTAATCTTATTCTCAGGGATTATTTTCAAGAATGTATGATTGTTCATTTAGGGTAAAGACTTTTTTAAAAATAAATTTTACTTGAAAGAGTTGGCGTGAATTACTAAGTGGTAATTTACATATTTATGGAATGTGTCACATAGTTCTTGCTCACTCCCTGCCAATTTCACAGCTTGTCTTTTACTTTGTTTATTTTTGTTGTAGCTAGTTTCACCCAGCTGTGACCTAGCATCTTGATTTGGCTGAACCTCCTTTATCTGCCCCAGGTTATTTCTGATGCTTCACTTTGGGTAGGCTAGACATCTGCTGGAAACTGCCAACATTCACAAAGTCATGATGTTTGGAAAGGAGGTACTGGACCAGTGGGGAAACACTGCTCAGCGTTGCTGGAAATTACTTTACCAAATAAGTTACATGCATGCAATCTCTTGACTGCATCTCTGGTTTCTATAGAAACCCAAGCAAACCTGAGGTTAGAAGGTTCCAATATTATATTTTTGTATTCATTCTTATTTCTTCCTATGTCAAGAAGGTACATAGTCTATATTTTCAAAATGTATACAGACATTTTTATCCTTGAATGGGTTAATTATGAAGTTCGTTTCAAGTAATCATCTGAAAGGTACTATTAATCAAAATCTTCATAATTTTTTGATGCTATGCTTTGGACAAATTTTTTTATTTATATAGAAATATTCTCCAAAATATAATTGTAAATTTTAAAATGAATGTATCTGTGTACATATTATATATAGTATATAACACATTATATATATATATAGTATATACTGTAATACATTATATACATGGTAAATAATGTTTTAGTGTTTGTCAAACCTGAACTTTTTGGATTATATTAAATCTGAAATTAAAAGACACCATGAAATAAACAGTAGTCAATAGATTTCAAAAATACTTCTACCTTATTCAATGCAGGGTCTAGCAGTATCCGGTCTATGGTATTTTGTTATGGTAGCCCAAACAGACTCAGACAGGCATACAGTTTGATCTTTTTGCACTTTGTTTTTTTCATATTTAACATGTTGGTAATATCCCTAACTCACAGTGTGTGAGCATTCATGAGAAATTCAACATTGGGAACACATACAGTATTTAACACAGGGATAATAGTATATAAATACATATCTATATCTATGTATACACAAAGACATAGTCCATTTACACATTTACATATAATTTAATTACTTCAATTACTGATGTAGTTAGGTTAACATACACGATATTATTATTCATTTTGTATAGATACATATTTTACATTTCTTTGATTTTGATTTCTTGCCTTCCTTTAAACATTTTTGCGATTCTTACTTTCTTCTATTTGTTATAGATTGTTTTATTATCTCTTTAATAACAACTCTAATGATTACCATATGCATTGCTGATTTAGTACTGTCTGATACAAAATTTTCTTCGGCACATCCCTGTCATTATTTAAAATTTTCCATTTTGTATTGCATGGCTGCTGACAATAAAACCCCTCAGTCTTTGTCTATCCAAAAACATATTTATTTATCCCTTTTTGAAGGATACAGGCTCAGTTTTTCAATGCTGGGTTGGCAGTTACATTCTTTCAGAAATTTAAAGATGTTAATACACTGCCTTCCATCTTTCCTTATTTCTGTTGAAATTCCAGCTGTCGATTCTATTTTTGCTTCATTAAAAGTAGTGCCTTGTTTTCTACTGGGGCTTTTTGTCTTTCTTCCCCCAGTCTTAGGTCTTCAGCATTTACTATAATGTGCTTTAAAAAGTTATTTTCGAATCTATCCTGCTTGCAGTATTCTATGTTCGCTGAATCTGTGGATTGATACTTTCTTTTCTTCCGTATGCAAGATACACGTTTATTTAACTCTGACCTAGTCTTTTCTTTTCATCTCTATTCTCTCTCTCTTTCCTTTTCCTATCTTATGTTTCCTTTTGTGTTATTCCATTATCTTGTTTTTGTGTTTAGTTTCATTAATTCAGCATTCTTCTGTGTCCAAACTGCTGTTAAATGTACACATTATGATATTAATTTCAGGTATTGCATTTTTTCAATTCTAGAAAGCCCATTTTAATAGTTTAAAAAGTTTAAACTTTCTAGTAGCATTTTCTATATTTCCATCTATTTTTCTTCTGTTTCTATATCATATTTAAAACATTCATTGTAAAATCCTTTTCTCTAATATATGAATTTTTTATTGTTCACTTTCTGTATTGATTATAAATCTCTGCCTCTACTCTTTACCTGTATATTTTATTGTATATTTGACATTGGGTACAAAAGAGCTGTAGAGTCACAAAACAAGGTTATCTTCTATTTTAGATAAATCGGAAGATTTTAATAACTCTAATTTAGCAGAAGCTGAATTAAAATAGCATTAAATTGGAAACGTATAATTCTCCTCTGACATAAGGTAATACGTTATCTAGGGTTTTGGTTGTGAATTTAATTAGTCATAAATGTTTTAGCCCTGAAAATTTTTTTAAAACCCAGGCCAGAGTTTCCTGCCCATACTGTTATTACAAAGAGCTTAAAGATCTGAAAATTTTTTTCAGTGGGTATCCATTTTGTGGTTGATGTGGCTTACTGGAAATTACTGCTAAAACCATATGTTATTTTTAACGGGAAACATACTGTCTGTGCTATTAATGCAGGACATTTTAAGCACTGATTAGATTTTGCCAACAGGATAATATTTTCAATGCTACTTCCTTTCACATGGAAATATGCAAATATTTCAGCCCAAATGTTTTCATGGATACTGAATTTTGCCTTCATGTAAAATTCCTTTTACATAGATTTTCATAAGACAAAACTCATCAAATAAGTACTATTTATGACTTTCAATATTCTACCAAACTTTATTACTGCAAAATTAGTTTCCCAACTCTATATAATTCTGGGGGAAAAACCCTAAATCAGTTTAATTTTAAATAGTAGCTCCATTAAAAGATTATTCCAAGTATTTATATTTTAAATTTTCAAAATAAAAAGTATACTCATTTGATTTTTCTATATTTTTCACATCCTACATTGATTTAGTAAGTATAAATTTTAATGACATACTTTTTAAATTATCTTTAATTAAATCTTCAAAGCCAAAATTTTTGGTACTCTTTTTGTTGAATATTTGAGCTTAAGATTTCCAACAATTTTTAAATTAAAAGGCGAAGAAATTTAGAGCGTTCTTTATAAGCAAGACCTCTTTCAAAGCTATCGCAATAGGAGAGAAAGACCAAAGTGAGTCCAAACTGAACAATACTAAAACAAAGTGCTGGAGAGATTTTACAACCTTAAGTAAGGAAAATCATAGGCCATCTGTGTTTGTTACTTGCCCTTAACCAAAGGAAAAAAATATTTCATATTATAATTTCATGACCGAAGGCAGTTATACAACTTGGAGTAGGGAACATACATAAGTTAGTTGTTGTTTCCTACAGACACTGAGAGAAAGAGAGGCATTACTTTCTTTGACAATTATATTTCAAAAGGATGTTTCCTTATTCCTTGAGAAATATGGCAAGGGCTTTTAAAAAGATTTATATCTCAAAGTTTCAGAGAAGGAATTTGCAATTAGAACTGCCCTAAAGTAAACGCTTTGCTTTAAAAGTAACAAGGTGAAATCAGGGGCTCAGAGGCAGAAAGATGACTGTCTAAAATTTGGTCAAGCTGAGGAAAATATGGTTTTCTAGGTTATTATCCTTGGCAACCTGGGATATCAGATCATTGTAGCCAAAAATAATTTTCTATGTTTCTTCACAATATTTATAATAGGTATTGCTAATGTGTCCAGAATTGGTGGGTTCTTGGGCTCACTGACTTCAAGAATGAAGCCGCAGACCCTCACTGTGAGTGTTACAGTTCTTAAAAGATGGTGTGTCCGGAGTTTGTTCCTTCTGATGTTTGGACATGTTTGGAGTTTCTTCCTTCTGGTGGGTTCATGGTCTCGCTGGCTTCAGGAGTGAAGCTGCAGACCTCTGCGATGAGTGTCACAGCTCTTAAGGCAGCACATGTGGAGTTGGTTTGTTCCTCCCCTCTGGAGTTGTTCATTCCTCCTGGTGGGTTCGTGGTCTCACTGGCCTCAGGAGTGAAGCTGCAAACATTTGCAGTGAGTGTTGCAGCTCATAAAGGCAGTGCAGACCCAAAAAGTGAGCAGCAGCAACATTTATTGCAAAGAGCAAAAGAACAAAACTGCCACAATCTTGAAGGAGACCCAAGCAGGTTGCCACTGTCGGCAAAGGCAGCCTGCTTTTATTCCCTTATCTGGCCCCACCCACATGCTGCTGATTGGTCCATTTTACAGAGAGCTGATTGGCCCATTTTACAGACAGCTGATGGGTCCGTTTTGATATGGTGCTGATTGGTGTGTTTACAAACCTTGAGCTAGACACAGAGCACTGATTGATGCATTTACAATCCTTTAGCTAGACATAAAAGTTCTCCAAGTCCCCACCAGATTAGCTAGATAGAGAGTGCTGATTGGTAAATATATAATCCTTCAGCTAGACATAAAAGCTCTCCAAGTCCCCAATCAACTCAAGAGCCCAGCTGGCTTCCCCTAGTGGATCTCGTGCTAGGGCCCCGGGTGGAGCTGCCCGCCAGTCCCCCGCCACACGCCCGCACTCCTCAGCCATTGGGCGGTAGATGGGACCGGGTGCTGCAGAGCAGGGGGCAGCGCTGTCTGGGAGGCTCCGGCCAGGCCGGAGCCCACTGGTAGTGGGGGGCTCGGGCATGACGGGCTGCATGTCCTGAGCCCTGCCCCGTGGGGAAGCAGCTGAGGCCTGGGGAGCATTGGAGCGCGGTGAGGGTGGGCCGGCAGTGCTAGGGGATCCGGCGCACCCTCCGCAGCTGCTGGCCCGGGTGCTAAGCCCCTCACTGCCCAGGGCCAGTGGCGCCGGCCGGCTGCTAGAAGTGCGGGGCCTGCCGAGCCCGCGCCCACCCAGAGCTCGCGCTGGTCCGCGAGCACTGCGCGCAGCCCCTGGCGCCCGCCCATGCTTTTCCCTCCACACCTCTCCATGAGCAGAGGGAGCTGGCTCCGGCCTCGGCCAGCCCAGAGAGGGTCTGCCACAGTGCAGCAGCGGGCTGAAGGGCTCCTCAAGCGCGGCTAGAGTGGACGCCCGGGCCTGAGGAGGCGCCTAGAGTGAGCGAGGATTGCTAGCACGTTGTCACCTCTCACTAGTAAAGATTTTTCTATTATATATTTGTAGCATTCTTTGTTTAATATTTCTTTATTGCCAGATTACTTGTTTCTATTACTTTGTTGTTTAAATATGTCCTAAGTGTGCACTGAACTTTCTATGTTGCTCACACGCACTTCTTAGAGAATGCACCTCTATAAATTAGTGCTTGTGTTCGATGTACACCTCCACAACTGAATCCATACAAAATGATTCATCTTAATTTATGCTCAATGGGATAGAGTGGAATCAAGTTGAAAAAAATTTCATCCAGAGCCTGTCAGAAAACTATTATTCCTTAATCCAGAATAAAGTGATTAACTGTTACATATGAATTCCTCTCTTGAGTTAGAACTTGTGCAATAAAAGAATATTGACAATTAATTGCGGTAAACCGTCCTAGACTCAAAAGTTAAGCAAGCCATTTTAAACTCTATGATAAATTTTAAAAGATTTATTAAGAGCAAAAAAAATGGGAGAAATACCAGAAGAATTAAAAAAAAAACCAAACACACAGAAGGCAGAAAAGAATAGTTTGTTAATTTGCAATTCTTCCTGAAGCTCATTGGGTTGTTTTTATATGTTTGTTTGATTTTATTTGTTTTATTTTACTGCTGGCACATTTATCTATTCAATGAAACAACCTATTTCTCAGCCCCTCATTACGGCATAACTTAAGTACTATTCTGCCTTCTACAAACGTTAAGGGTCATATTTAGAATATCATGTAAAACAGCTCATTTCCTCTATGTTTTGCATTATTTGAACATAAAAAAATATACTTAGAAGTGTGTTTCAAATAGAAGGAGGTATTTTCCTACAAAAATATTTCCTAGTTTTATTTAGAGAGAGAGAGGATTAAAACTAATGGATGGACTGTTTGACTAAAAGTGATTTGCAGTTTCCCTTTATTATTTTAGTAATATATAAATAAAACTTCTCACTGTCCACAATTTATATTTAGTGAGAGACCTGCTTAAATGTGAAAGTATATTTGAAGTTTGCTATTTAAAAAAATAATAAATTTTCTTTACATACTTATATAGCCGCATACCATCTTAATAATTAGATTTGAACTAGAGCAGAAAAGTATATTCAATTTGACATAACTTTGGAGTGCATCAAATGGTGATGAATATCTCATGTTATCTAATTCTATTTGACTTGTGAAAATTTCATTTATGTAAGAAGTTGAAAGCAACATCTAAACTTATTGGAAAAATAGAAACAGCCCATTTCTAGGTTGATCAGCAAGAAGGTAATGTAAAATATATGCTCCCAGGGATATAAGCCCGTATGTAGTTCTCAAATGCTTTTATTGCAGTTGAAAATAAAACATCGAGGTGTTCGTAGTAGTTTCTGATGGTTATTTTTATTTCTGTGGGGTCAGTAACAACATTTTCTTCATCATTTCTAATTGTGTTTATTTACGTCTTCTCTCTTTTCTTTATGAGTCTAGCTAGCCAACCTATCATTAATTTTTTTAAAAAATGAATTCATAGATTTTAGTGATCTTTTGAATGTTTCTTTGTGTGTGTGTCTAGATTTCCTTCAGTTCATCTCTGATTTTGGTTATATATTAACTTCTGCTAGCTTTGGGGTTGACTTGCTCTAGCTTCTCTAATTCTTTCAGTTATGACTTTAGGTTGTTAATTTGTGATCTTTCTAAGTTTTTGACGTGAGCATTTAGTGTTGTAAGTTTCCCTGTTAACAGTGCCTTAGCTGTTTCCAGAGATACTGCTTTTATTTTTGTTCTCATGGGTTCCAAAACACTTCTTGATTTCTGCTTTAACTTCTAGACTTTTCAAAAGAAGACATACATGTGGCCAACAAATATATGAAAAAAAGTTCAATATCACTGATAATTAGAGAAATACAAATCAGAATCATAATGAGATAGCATCTCACACCAGTCAGAAGAGCTATTATTAAAAAGTAAAAACAAATAAAAACAAACAACAAACAACAACAACAAAAACAGATGGCCGGGTGCGGTGGCTCAAGCCTGTAATCCCAGCACTTTGGGAGGCTGAGGCGGGTGGATCATGAGGTCAGGAGATGGAGACCATCCTGGCCAACATGGTGAAACCCCGTCTTTACTAAAAATACAAAAATTAGCCAGGCATGGTGGCATGCGGTTGTAACCCCAGCTACTCGGGAGGCTGAGGCAGGAGACTCTCTTGAACCAGGAGGCAGAGTTTGCAGTGAGCAGAGATGGCACCACTGCACTCCAGTATGGGCGACAGAGTGAGACTCCGTCTCAAAAAAACAAACAAACAAACAAAAAACCTGGCAAGGTTGCAGAGGAAAGGGAACACTTACACACTGTTGGAGGCAGTGTATATTAGTTCAACCATTGTGGAAAGCAGTAATGCTAATTTCTGAAATCTCAAAGAGCTGAAAGCAGAACTACCCATGCAACCCAGCAATCCCATTACTAGGTGTATACCCAGAAGAATATAAACCACTGTACCATAAAGACGTGAACGCTAAGGTTAACTGCAGCACCATTAACAACAGCACAGACATGGAATAAACCTAAGTATCTATAAGTGATGGTCTAGATAAAGAAAATATGGTGTATCTATACCATGGGATACCATACAGCCATAAAAAAGAACAAAATTATGTCTTCTGTGGGAACATGAATGGAGCTGGGGGCTATTATCCTTAGCAAACTAACCCGAGAACAGAAAACCAAATACCACATATTTTCACTAAAGGATGAGAACTGATGCACACAAAGAAGGGAGCAATAGGCACTGGAATCTACTTGAGGGTGGAGGCTTTGAGAGGAGGGAGAGAACAGAATAGATAACCATTGCATACTGGGCTTAATATCTGGGTGATTAAATAATCTGTACAACAAACCCACATGACACGAATTCACCTATGTAGTGAACCTTCACATGTACCTCCGAGCCTAAAATAAAAGTTCAAAAAAAAACCCATATTATTCATAAAGTTAAATGGTCCGTAACTCTTATCCTTGAAGATACAGTTTCTCTTTGTTCTTTTGTTTGGGGAATAAGAATATCCCTCTTAAAAGATCTTTGTCAAATTCACAGTGATGGACTCTGGCAGCAGTCGTGTTTAGTTGCACTTCACTACTCTACTTCCGCTAAATTAATGGTAGGTTTGAAGTAAAGTACACTTTCAAATTGGCAGCTGTCAGGCGGGTCCCAAAAACTCCTATTAGCTGCAGACCACTTAAGCTGGTCACCAGGTGTTGTAATCAGCATCCCATGATTTTCCCATGTGTATTCGACTATAGTTGGGAGATGGGGCTAATCATAACCTAACATTGCAAATTTGGGCGTCTCATTTTAAAACACTTAATTTAAAGGGGTCTGGAAGATCATAGCCACAAATATGCTCTTGCCGATAATTTCCTCACAATATACTCATTAGTGTTTTAGGAATACAAATTCTATCAGATCATGTTTGCTTTGCCACCAAATACTGGAAATGACAGTCGATATCTGTTCAGAAAATCACATTTGGATTACAAAAGCTGCGTGAACTATTGACAGTTTCACCATCAATATCACATATGAATATATGAGAAATATATTTAAAAAATCAAGGACAGTTTCACTATCAATATCACATATAAATATATGAGAAGTATATTAAAAAAATGAAGGTCAGAACTGAAGTCAAGTACACGAGACACGTTATTTATCTTAAAGAGTTTTCTAGTTTTTCTACTGATTTTTTGCGTGACTTAGCAATTAATACAAATGCACCAAATGAACAAATTTGGCATTTTGCCAACTGCCTTTATTTCTTTTTATAATAAATCTTCTTTATTGAAATCTCTAGAGTATCGACTTGTTAGCAATAGAAACAAGGCTGATTTTGTTTGTTTGCTTGTATTTGTGTGTGTACACCAGAAGTTATTTCCATGTCTGAAAAAAAGCCAATTTTTACATCATTTTATTTATTCCTCTCCTACTGAATAATAATAATTAGAATTTTTGGCCTCTTTTTTCTTTTTTTTTTTGAGATGGAGTCTTGCTCTGTTGTCCATGCTGGAGTGCAATGACACGATCTCGGCTCACTGAAACCTGTGCCACCTGGATTCAAACGATTCTCCTGCCTCAGCCTCCTGAGGAGCTGGGACTACAGGCATGTGCCACCGCACTCAGCTGATTTTTGTATTTTTAGTAGAGACAGGGTTTCACCATGTTGGCAAGGCTGGTCTCGAACTCCTGACCTCATGATCCACCCGCCTCGGCCTCCCAAAATGCTGGGATTACAGGCGTGAGCCACCACGCCCTATTTTTAAACAAACTAAAACATTGTTATTAGAAATAGATCTTGTTTCAAGTGTCTTTACTGAGGTAAAATATTAAACTCAAGGCTGTAAAGGATAAAAATTGATATAAATTATTAAGTCTCTGCTATGTGGTTGTAAATGTACTAAAAGTTTATATACATAATCTAATTATATTATTATAATATATATAAGAGTATTAACTATCAACATATAGATAGAGAAGTCTTATTAGAAATATAAAATAATTTGTCAAAGCCACAAAATTGATAGCAGCTATAATTTCATTCTAATCTTTATTTATTTAACTTCAAAACTCAGACTCTTAATCACTGTTTTATACTATGTGTGTCCAGATATAATGAGAAATTAAACAGATATATTAGAATGATGGCCAATACTGGTATTGGATTTTTAAAAAACTTTGGAATAATTAAATAGCATATTCTCCCATTTCCAATTCTCTCTTAAATATAACATTATTTTTCTATATAAAATTTAATACTGTTTTATTTTATATTTAAAATATTTTTATATTTTTTTAATTAATTAATTTTATATTTAAAATAAAACAGTATTAAAGTTTATATTTAAAATAAAACAGTATTGAATTTTAAATATAACATTGTTCTTAGGTATCAATCATAGCAAATGCCCTTTCACAAGTAAGGTAATAATGTGAGAGTTGTGACCAATATTACATTTCAAGTTATGTTACTTAAATCATAATTAGATATGTGGAAAATTTTTGCTTAGAATTAAGATATGAGAAAGCCAATTTTTTCAATACTAATTGGCTAGGTTTCCTTAGGGAGGTGAGGTGGGATTATATCTACCAGCAAATATAAACGTAGCCTTGTTTGGGGAAACAGGACCTAAAAAAATAAATTATTAAATTTTTAAAAAGTGGTATCTACTCTTGAATTAGCTATTCCACATTAACTAACTCTAAGTTTGGATGAAACACATCAAAAAGCTTTTTTCTGATATTGGAAATAGAATGTGAATTAATTTAACAAAAAAATGAGGGGGAGAAAAAGCAATAGGGCACATTAACTCAAGACAGACCATAGATTCTTATAAACTAAAATTAAGTTGACTTAAAGAGTATTAGAATATCTTTGTCACTTTATGGTAGTCACAGACTTCTGAGAGCACAGAAAGGCTAAAACTTAAACATAAAAGAACAAAGTGATAAATAATCTCGGCAGTTCTTCCCTATAGCATACACTGAAAACACAAAATATGGACCTGTAACTAATATTCCAGAAGTAGATATACAATATATAAAATAGTATATAATACACAATTAATTTAAAGATAGTAGAATAAAGAAAAAAGCAATGGGGCACATTAACTGAAGATCATAGATTGAGTTAGACCATAGATTCTAACATGGAAACTAAAAGTACAAGTTGTCTTAAAGAAAGAGTAGGATAATATCTTCATTACTTTAAGGTAGTCACAGATTTCTAAATGTGCATAAAAGCTAAAACTTAAAAGAAACATAAAAGGAAAAATTGATAAATTTGACTTCAAATTTAAAAAAAAAAAATTCTCAAAAGTACTGAAAAACAGGATGACGTTAGTAGAAATGGTAAAGGAGAAAATTCTGAAAGTCCATCTTTCCACAAAAGCAATGAACAGACATAAAAACTGTCAGAATCACCTTTTTTTAGAAATCTGGAGTCTAATCAAAAGCTTACAATAACGAGAAAAACTCTAAATCCAGGAAAATAGCTGACTGTTGATAAGAGAGGTTTGTGGTGATTTGACTTCCTCTTGTATCATTCTCCACTTCCAGTTTTGTGGCAGCCTTGAGGACAGCCTTCATTCCTGATATGTACCTAATACCTGAGAGATCAGGTGATTTATTTTGACCTGGCCAATGGCTCCCTGAAGGACCAGATAAAGCGCTTGCCTTTATTTCATCTGACTTGGAACTTATCAGTTACTACCATAGGTTAAGCCACAAAATATGTCTCAATCACTTTAATAGATTAAAATCATAGCATATACCTTCTTCAACAAAAAGAAATGAATCTTAAAATCAATAACAGAAAGAAATCTGGAAAATACACAAGTATGGGGAAATTAAAGAATGCTTAATTTAAACAAATAATAGATCAAAGAAGAAATCACAAGGGAAATTTAAATTATATTGAGGTTAATGAAAGCACAGCATACTAAAACTTAATGCAATGCAGTGAAAATCGTGTTCTTAGTGAAATTTACAGCTGTTAATGCCTCCAAAGAGAAGAAGGATTACAAATCAATAATCTAAACAAAGACTTTATGAAGTTAGAAAACAAAGGGGAAACTAAACCTAAATCAAAAGAAAAAAAGAAGTAAAAGATATGAGATAATAGATAAATGAGACAGAACACACACAAACAACAGAGTCAATGAAACCAAAAGTTGGGTCTTTGAAGAGATCAAAAAAATTGACAAATCTTTAGCTAGACTGACCAAGAAAAGTAGAGCGAGGACTCAAATTATTAAAAACAGGAATACAATTTGGGATATTACTACCAACCCTTAAAAATAATGAAAGTGTTATAAGATAATATTATAAGCAATTGTGTGCCACTAAATTAAATAACCTAGAAAAATAGACAAATTTCTAGAAACACACAAGCTGACACAAGTGAAAACAGTCGATATCTGAATTAACTTTACAGGAAGTAAAATGACTGAATCAGGAATCAAAAACAAAACAAAACAATTCAACAAAGAAAAGTACACTGCAAGTTTGTTTCACAGGTAAATTCTATGAAATGTTTAAAGAGAATTAGTAAAGTCTTTCTAATACTGTTTCAAAATAAAATAAAACAAAAAGGAAGAAAGAAAATAAAGGAAAGGATTAGGGAGCTCCCTACTTTATTCTAGCATTACTTTAATACCAAAATGAAACAAAGATGCCACAAGAAAACAAACACTGTAGACCAATATCTACTATAAATGTAGATGCAAACATCATCAAAAATGCTATAAACAAATCCAGCAATATATTAAAAAGTTTATACATCATGACAAAGTAAAATTTATTTCAGGAAAAAAAAAATGGTTCAACATATGGAAACCCATCAATTTAGTATACCATATACAGAGTATAAAGGGGATAAAACATGTGTTCTCAGTGGATGTAAAACAAAAGCATTTCACATAATCTAGTTCCCTTTCTTAATTTAAAAAATGAAAACTTTTTTTGAAAGAAGGGAATTTTCTTAACTTGTTAAAGGTCATCCATGGTAAAAGACCAAAATATTTTGTCTTAATATCAGGAATAAGACAAGATTTCCATTCTCTCCCTAAGACCAAGAAAAAATGTTTATTCTTGGCATTTCTATTTAACATTATCCTGGAATTCTAATCAGAACAATTAGATAAGGAAAAAAAAGCATCCAAATTAAAAAAAAGAGCAATAAAACAATCTCTATTCACAGATAACATCATCTTATATACTGAAAATCCTAAATAATCTATACATACACACACACACACAACAATTTTATTTTTAAATTCATCAGTATGAAAATTTAGCCAATGAACTGTAAGACTTGTATGCTAAAAGCTATCAGACACTGTTAAAATAAATCAAAGAGCATCTAAACAACTTGAAAGACATCCCATGCTCATGGATTAAAAGACTTAATATTGTTAAGATGACAATACTACTCAGATTAGCTATACATTCAATGCAACCACTATTAAATTCCTAACTGCCTTTTTTTTTCTTTGCAGATACGTAAAGCTGTTTTTTAAGTTGATTGTGAAATTATGAGGTTCCCCAAATGGCCAAAACCATCTTGAAATACAAGAACAATTTTGGAAGACTCACACTTTACAATTTCAAATATACCACAAAGTTGCAGTAATTAAAAAGTATGCTACTTGCATAAGGGCATAGATATAGATGAAAAGAATCCTGAAATAAACCCATATTTCAGTAGTAACTTGACATTCAACCATGACGTTAGACCCAATTAATGGGAAAAAATGGTGTATTTCACAAATGCATGCCACATGCAACAATATGAATTTGGAACTCTATCTACCCCATGTGCAAACAATTAATTGAAAATGAATAAAAATACCTAAATATAGGGGCTAAATTATAAAACTATTAACATGAGGGGTATAAATTTTTACGATCTTGAATTGGGCAACAGTTTTTGAAGTGTAACACCAAAAGCACAAGAAACAAAATTTTAAAAAGATTTTGATTAAGTAGACTTCACCAAAATTAAAAACTTTTTAAGGAGTCTGTCAAGAAAGTGAAAAGGCAATAAAATGGGAGAAAATATTTGCAAATTATATACCCGATAATTATCTAGTATTAAGATATCAAATACTCTTACAACTCAATAACAGAAAGACCAACAACCTCATTTAAAACTGGGCAAATGACTTGAATAGACATTTCTTTCAAGAAGATATAGATATTTCTAACAGGCATATGAACAAATGCCTGTATCATTTGTCTTGAGAGAAGCACAAACCAAAATCTCAATGAGATACACCTTCACACCCATGAGGATAAATACTCAAAGAAACTGAGAATAACAGGTGTTAACTAGAATACAAAAATTAATAATCCTCATCTAATACTAGTGGGGATGTAAAATGGTATAGCCACTATGGAAAACAGAAGTATATCAAAGAGAAATTAAAATAGTTGTTAAAAAAAATAAAGAAAAATATAACTAGTGCATTGGTGTTAGTTCATTCATTGCAATATTGTTAGTAGTAGCTTACACTGAAAACACTCCAAAAGCCCATCAACTGATGTACTGATAAACAAAATGTAGTATACACATATCAAAATATTATTGATCATAAAAAAGAATAAATTTCTTATTTGCTACAACATAGATGAACCAAATTTCTGAAACAGACACTTCATAGGGTCATAAGCATATAAACGTACTCAAAATTGTCTTCAGCCTAAGTAAGTCATCACATTATTCTGAACAATGTAAATTTTGCCATATTTGTTCTGTTTTGTTCTTTTCATTATACACTCAGAGGCAATCATATGTTTCTAATAATGTTTCTTAGATCTTGGGGCAATTTTGTGGCCAACAAATATATACCTGTATCTCTCTTTTCTTTTCCTTTTTTTTTTTTCTCTTTCACTAAACTTCACCTTTTAAAAGTTGTTAACATCATTTACAAAAAATAAATAGTTTACTCTTTTAGGGTGTATTTGCTCTAACAGTATAACCTCTTAGGGCATACTTAACTTTGTAATTCACTTAATATCTTTACTTATAAAAATATATAAACACAGATAACATATGGTGACAGTTACTACAAATACATTCAAGACAGATACTATTCAAAGCTTTCAATTTTTGTGTCGAGGGCGTGGGGCTGTAGAGACAGGCCATAAATTACCGTAATTCACCAAATGAGGTTAATGGACCCATCATGTGGCATGTGAGACACTCTGTGAGTGAAAATACCCATTATATTTGTTTCTTAAACATGTTATTTTCTTCCTTTCCCTTCTTAAATGCTTTACTTTAAACAAATCTTGTCCAACCCGTGCCCCATGGGCCGCAAGTGCCCCAGAATGGCTTTAAATGTAGCCCAACACAAATTTGTAAACTTTCTTAAAACATTGTGTTTTTTTTGTGATTTTTTTAGCTCATCAGCTATCGTTAGTGTATTTTAGGTGTGGTCCAAGACAATTCCTCTTCCAATGTGGCCCAGGGAAGCCAAAAGATTGGATACCCCTGCAAACTATTAGAATAGCTGGTATAAGACATGAAATAATGGTCCAGGTACCCTGATTCTTATATTAAATTATTTTAATTGTATAATGATTAATTAAATTGTTATTTATTTCTTCTCATACTAAGAATACCATATCATACTTTTTGGTGATGAGATTGAGCAGTTAGTTGTATTATAGAAAAATCCACATAATAATATTTGATCGAATACATCTTAGATTTAATTAAATATTTGTACATGGAAATAGCTCAGTTTTTTTCACCAAAAATTAGTTTGGAAAGAAAACATGCTCTATTAAAAAGTAATTCAGTTGTGTGACTCATAAAATATTTTAAGATACACAAAGAAGAATTGGTTAAATATTCTCAAAACTCCTTTACAGTTGACTAAAGAAGACAAAATATTCTTATGAGAAATTTTGCTACCAGTTTCTAATAACATTAACACTCACTGCATCATGAGCCTAAAATTCATGATTCTGCCTATAAACTAGAGCCAATACTTTGCTTATCTTCTTTTATTTTTCTGTGTAAACACTGTCCTGATTTCCTTCATATATTTAATCAATGCTTAAGCACTCCAGGTTTCTGTAGCACTTTTCATACAACTACATTAGCTTTTCTTATTGTGATAATTATTTAAATATGTGTCATCATTTTGTTGCTTGGCATAGTGCTTTCTACATAGCTTGCTAACACCCAATTGCATTTGGACAGAATCAATCGTATATTTGATGATTCTAAGAACACAGGATAGAAGAATCCTGAATTAAGGAGACAATATGGAATGGACTTTAAGGAAGCTACATGCAGGGTATAAGTGTAGTTTTAGTGCCTCATTTGTAGCTCCCCTCTTCTTCACTCTAAATTGTCCCATTCATGCACAAGATTTTGTTAATAACCAGTCCCCCTGTCTCTTTTCTAGATACTAAAGTATTCTTTGTAATGCAGCCATAGCAGCCTTTTGAATTTCAAATCTTAGTAACTGACATTCCCACCCTCATTTGAAAATCTTTAATAGCTTCCATTTGGCTCTTCATGAAGATAAAGATAGTAATAATTATTGTAATAGTCTCGCATAATCTATCTCTTAAGCTACATTTAATTTCACTCCCTATCCCCTGCCTTGTCAACACTTTCTATCCTGTTGCCATACTATGTCTTTTATCATGTAAGTCTTTGTAATTTTCCTTGATACAATGTATCACAGTTGATATTTTTAAAAAGGATAGGAATTTAGTTTAAAAAATCTTCTTTTGGATAGGAGATTACAATTGTACGTATGGTGATATGCATGCAATTTGTATCTTCCAGAAAGAAATAAATTACACAATGTTTTTAAGGAAAATATTTTAGGAAATTCAAAATGGATTAAAATGACCAACATAACTCTAAAATATTATGCCTTTGACTGAAACTCAGTTTGAAGCTTAAAGAAAAACTCTAGTGTTTTCTTACTTTCTTCCCAATCTGCTCAACACCATGCCATGATGTGAACCAGATATTATAATGCAAAAGCTGAAAAAGGTTCTTTTCTCTCCTCTCCTCCTGGAAGCAATGACTCCCTCTCCCTGACCCTTCCCACCAAGTGCACCTCACTTTTAAGCTGCTCAGAAACCCACTGCTTTTTTCTTAATTAAATTATTCTTCAACCGTAACATTTTTGAGGAACACATGAGGTCTCTATGTGAGTCACAGGAGGGCTTTTAATTGGCTTTCAAGAATGCCGATAAACAGCCTTTAATGTATTTTAAATACCAAGGGAGAATGCTAAAGAGTTTTAGTAAGAGCTTTGAATTTAGAGTCAGACTTGAATTTCTTACTGAATGAAATCACTCATAAGCGTCATGTTACAAATAAAGTACCCACATGATCTAGATATAAAACACTGCCTTTTCTTTCCAGATGTAGTTGGGCAATTCTTAAGTAATGCTATGAAAGCAAAACCTAGCATAGACAGTAAGTGATTAATTTATGTTTGAATAAATATAACATAGACATTCTTACTTCCATTTTTCTTGCACTTTTTCCATTCATGGACAACTGATGTTTTACTTGATTTTAACATTTCAAACATATTAGATTCACAAGGAGGATGCTACTGTTTCCCCCCAGGCACAAATGTCCTTAAAAATGGCACTGCTAATGCTCCCAACAGACAGAAATCCTTTTCAGATTTTAAATGACACAATGTCCTTGTATTAGTCCGTTCTCATGCTACTATAAAGAACTTCCAAGACGGGGTGATTTATAAAGAAGAGAGGTTTAATTGATTCACAGTTCCACATGGCTTTGGAGGCCTCAGGAAACTTACAATCATGGTGGAAGGAGAAGCAAACACATCCTTCTTCATATGATGGCAGGAAGGAGAAGTGCCAAGAAAAGAAGGAAAAAACCCTTACAAAATCATTAGATCTTGTGAGAACTTGCTCACTATCATGAAAACAGCAGCATGGGGGTAGCTTCCCCCATGATTCAATTGCCTCCCACCAGGTCCCTCCCACGACACGTGGGAATTATGGGAACTACAATACAACATAAGATTTGGGTTGGGACATAGCCAAACCACATCAGTTCTTATTGTTCCTTTCCCCCGATCCCAGGAGTAAAACTTATTCTTAGATGTTTTGTATACTGCAGTCTGTGTGTGTGTGTGTGTGTGTGTGTGTGTGTGTGTGTGTATACAACCAGCTTATTACATTACTACTTTAGATGCGCTACTTGTACAACATGAATACTTGAGCAGTTCCCTCTAGTCTTAAAAGGGCTGATTTTTATAAACTCATTGTGGAGGCCTACAAGTCAATGTCCCTGCTGCTTACTTATCAGAAAACTCCAACACCCTTTCCAGCTTTGGTGATTTTCACGTAAACTTCTCCCCATTCTCTAAACATGGCCTATCTTTCCAGAACTTTATCAGACCTTCTTAAAACTAAATGTAGAAACCTCTGTCTTCATTCAGGTTGCAATTTTTATCCCCTGACTAGGAACATGACAACAACTTGACAGGCAATGGGAGGGCTATAAAGATATTCTTTCTTTAGCCTAAGGATTGGCAAACTATGGCCTTTCAGCCAAATCTAATCTTCATGTTTTTGTACAGCTATGAACTTAGATAATTTGTTCTTTTCAAATTATTTTAAATAATCAAAGAATATTTTGTAAAATGTAAAATTATATAAAATTCAAATTTCCACATCCAAAAATACATTAGAAAATAGTCATGCATAATTATTTACATATTGTCTGTAGTACAAAATATAAAGCTGAATAGTTACAACAAAGATTATATCCCTGTGAAACTAAAATACTATCTGACCCTATAGAACAAAGGTTGCTGATACCTTCTTTAAAAAATAAAATTGACTCTTACAGATAAAGGTGAAGATAACCTTAAGTGATAAGGAGAAATACCATTTTATAGTGTTCCAGTATTAAAATTATCAAAAGAAAAACAAAGGGACTTTTGGTTTACGATACTTACAGCCAGGGTAACAGAGTGCTGAAAGATCAGGGACTCCAACGAGAAAAGATGCGACCAGAGGTACTATTAAGCAACAAGAGCAATATGCATGGTATTACTTAGGTAGCTACTGGACAAAATGTCTAAAGACCATTCAGATAGCAAATGTAGATACCTTTATCTTGTGTTTGGAAAAGCACCTTAATGGCTTGAATTTAAAAACAAATATGATATTGGAGGGAGAAAACATTAAATCTGTAGCATCAGAATATGCTCATTATTTGTCTTGACTTTGTAAGCATAGAATCAGTGTCAACCTGAGAAGTGGAAGATTTTTCATAGGAAGAAAAAGCAAAAACTACGTTGCATTTACCTTTCTGTCATGTCTAGAGGGACAGATGAAATCTTATTTCATTTTAAAAATCAAAGGAAATTCTCAAAACATTCATTAAAGATCAAAAACAAAAATCATGTATGAATTATGTGTTACTATGGCTCAATATATCATCTTAATGAGAAAAGTGATAAATCCAGGCTATCACTAGTTTTGTAGCACCTGGAAGCATCAGCATTGCACATGTTAAAATGTATTGTTTTGGATCTATCTAAGACCAGTAAGTAAAAGAAGAGTGGTATGATGAAATTAACACTATCTTGATAACAGACAAGCTTGTAAAAACTCACTGAGCTTTGGAACATTGCATATTATAGATGGAGAGAGGGGGACAAATTGCTTCAACTGCAAACAATGAAGAGTAAATTTTCGGCAGAAAATATAAGAACAGTAATAAAAGCCATAACAGTTAGACTGCTTTTTATTATCTCCAAGAACCAATACATCTTTAAAAAGTCATTGATAAAATACTTTTCCAAAAATATCTTTCCTGGTACTACATTTTAATCATTTGCTCTTGTTACGGTTAAAATTATATAGAGATGTGCTTCAAATTAGCATATCTTATTACTATCCTCTAGTAAACATTTTATTCTAAATATAAGTTAATATAGGCAAGTTCCACTTATACCGACAACACCTAACCCAATATCTGGACTCATGTACGTGAATTCACTTTACGAGTGAATTAGCTGGCTAGAGACAGTTTGTGACTCTAACCTCTGTAGCCTTATATACTTCTGCTTATATGTATATACATACAGTATACATGTGCATACATAAACAGTATGCATAACAATAGGTTACAGTGCAAAGTAAGTAATGTTAATGGTTGTAAAGACAAGAAATATAACTAGAATTATTCAATTTACTCAGTGTGACCACTTAGAAATTTGCTTTTAAAATTTGAACCAGAGAAACGTAGTGAGAACTACCCATGAGATATTATGAATTTGTAATCACTACGTACACATTTGAGCTTACATATTAAATGCTTTGGTGAATTTGAATATCTTTAAAATTAAAATTGTTTCTACTTTTTATTTGTTTTTGGCAATTATGCTAAATGATATAAAGCACTTCCAGGATGGCAAAGTGAGAGCCTTTTTAAACCCATTCCTCTATTAAAGTAACAAGAACACTGTCAAAAATTATCAAAATCAACTTTTACTATACTCTAGAAGTTATACAAAGGCTTGGTAAATTCTGAGAGGTGTTTACTAAAGAAAGATTGCATGGCCACTAAGTACAGATAACTTCATGGCCTTTTAACTTGACTTAGTCACATCTTCCTCTCCCCATCTCCATACAAACCTTGAAGAGAAGCAACCTCACAACCATAGTGGCTGTGAAAACCAGACTTGCAGCAATTGACAGGGAAGATTGGTTTGGAGTTCTTCAAAGATTTTTATCCACAGAGCATGACATGATTTCACCTTTCTTATAACTGCTTAGAACATCCTCATTTATAGAATATTGCCATTATTTGACTTGATGCAAAGTTCCCTCCAATATCGGGAAAGCCCTATCTCCAGGAAGTTTGTTGAGAATAATCAGTGGAAGTTGTCTAATATTACCGCTTCCTGAAGCTGTAAAACCACTTGGAGCAACTAGATTCTGAAAAAAACAAAACTTAAGTAAAATATTTGGCAAATAAGATGTCTATATAAGAATTTAAAAAATTCTATAATACTCCTGAAGACATTGAAGGTGGTTCACATGCCCAGGAAAGATCTTAGAGGGGCCCAGTCTTCCAACTCTGGCTTAGCCTGAGGTCCTGAAAAGAAGTGTAGGGTAAGGCAGAGATGCATACTGCCTGATTGGTGAATGTGTCCCAACATACATGGAGGTCTCAGCAAATAATTAAATAATTATCGATTCAAGATATTCAAGGATATCCCTCATTGATCATTAGCTACTGTTAACCCAACAACGTCGAGTTGTCAGTAGCTGCACACTACAAGAAATGCAAAGTTCAGGAATGTTAGGAAACAAAGACAAACAAAAAGGATAACAAACCAAGTCCTGCAGAGAGAGAGCAGAGAATCCTGCTTTCCAGAGTTTCTACATTATATTATCTAAATTGTTTTATTTTCAACCAAAAATTACAAGCCAAGTAAAGAAACAGGAAAAATTGGCCAATATAGAAAAAAAGTAGTCAATAGAAAGCTGTCCCTCAGGTGGTCTAGATATTTGACTTACTAGACAAGAAGACTTTAAATCAGCTATTTTACACATTTTCAAATCCCTAAGTAAACCATGTCTAAAAATTGAATAAAAGTATAGAAACAATGCCTAACTAGTAAATAGTATCAATAAAGGCATAGACATTATAAAATATAACAAAATATAAATTTTGGAGTTGAAAAGAACAATACCTGAAATGAAAAAATTACTAAAGGATCTTAACAGCAAGAGTTGTACTGGCAAAAGACAGAATCAGTGAACTTAAATACAGGTCAATTGAGATTATCCAGTATTGTGTCCGGAATTGGTGGGTTCTTGGTCTTGCTGACTTCAAGAATGAAGCCGCAGACCTTCATGATGAGTGTTACAGTTCTTAAAGATGGTATGTCCGGAGTTTGTTCCTTCAGATATTCAGATGTGTCTGGAGTTTCTTCCTTCTGGTGGGTTCGTGGTCTCTCTGGCTTCAGGAGTGAAGCTGCAGACCTTCGCGGTGAGTGTTACAGCTCTTAAAGGTAGCGCGTCTGGAGTTGTTCGTTCATTCCGGTGGGTTCGTGGTCTCGCTGGCTTCAGGAGTGAAGCTGCAGACCTTTACGGTGAGTGTTACAGCTCATAAAGGCAGTGCAGACCCAAAGAGTGAGCAGCAGCAAGATTTATTGCAAAGAGCGAGAGAACAAAGATTCCACAGTGTGGAAGGGGGCCCCAGCGGGTTGCCTCTGTTGGCTCAGGCATCATGCTTTTAGTCCCTTATCCGACCCTACCTACATCCTGCTGATTGGCCCATTTTACAGAGAGCTGATTGGTCCGTTTTACAGAGAACTGATTGGTCCATTTTGACAGGGTGCTGATTGGTGCATTTACAATCCCTGAGCTAGACAAAGAGTGCTAATTGGTGCATATACAATCCTCTGGCTAGACCTAAAAGTTCTCCAAGTCCCCAGGGGACTCAGGACCCCAGCTGGCTTCCCTAGTGGATCCCTCACGTGCTGCGTGCCTGCACTCCTCAGCCCTTGGGTGATCGATGGGACTAGGCACCTCGGAACATGGGCAGCGCCTGTAGGTCAGGGGAGGCTCGGGCAGCGTGGGAGACCACAGGAGGGGGGACGCGTGGGGGAGGGGGCGTGGGGGGGAGGGGCACGGGGTGGTCGGGGAGGCTCGGTATGGCGGGCTGCAGGTCCCAAGCCCTGCCCAGCAGGGAGGCGACTGAGGCCCGGGGATAATTCAAGCTCGGTGCGGGCAGGCTGGCAGTGCTGGGGGACCCAGCTGCACCCTCCGCAGCTGCTGGCCTGGTTGCTAAGCCCCTCACTGCCCTGGGCCTGCGGCTCTGGCCAGCCACTCCCAGTGCAGGGCGCTCTGAGTCCACGCCCACCCGGAACTCGCACTGGCCTGTGAGCGCCTGCGAGTGCCGCACGCAGCCCCAGTCCCTGCCTGCGCCTCTCCCTCCACACCTCCCCGCAAGCAGAGGGAGCCGGCCTATGAGGCACCGCGAGCGAGGACTGCCAGCACGCTGTCACCTCTCAGTATGAAAAACAAAAGGAAGAAAAACAATGAGGAAAATTGAACAGGTCCTTAGAGACCTGAGGGACATCATCAAGTGTACCAACATCTATAGGACTGAAGTTCTGGAAGGAAGAGAGAGAGAGAGAGCCAGTGCAAAATTATTATTTGAAGATATAATGGCCTAAAACATTCCACATTTGATTTTAAAAATTAATGCGCCCTTCCAAGTTGCTCAATAAACTCTACATGGAATAAACCCAAAGACATGATACCAGATACATCACAATCAAACTACTAAAAGAAAAAGACAATAAAACATCATGAAAAGTACAAGAGAAATATGATTTATTACATAAAGGTATCCTCAAAAAGATTAATAGCTGATATTTCATTAGAAATCAAGAAGACTTTAAGTCACTGAAATGACATAGTCAAAGCATTGAAAGAAAAAGACTGTTAACCTAGAGTTTGACATTCAGCAAAACTATCTTTTAAAAGTGAAGAAACTTCAGTCTACCAAGATATAATAATACCATTTCTCCCAGGTTTTTCTCTTTACAATTAAAAATGCCCTGGACATAACACAGTAAATAAACATTAAATGTCAGAAGTCTGCCTAAGTACCTAATTATTACCTGAGTACTCACTGCAAGAAACAAAATTACAGTGAGTTTCCTGTTTTGTTTATTTCTTCCCATACATCCTTGAGAGGGCGCTGCAGAAGACACCAACACAAGTGGTAACAGGAATTGGGAAATAAACAGCAGCAGCAATAACAACAACGAAACTACAAGAAAAACTCATTCCCTTTGTGAAAAACATGACCTAACAACAGAACACACATTTTTGACAATACTCATTTATATCTTTAGCCAAATCCTGGTTGAAAAATTTCATAACCTACTCTACACAGTTTCACTAGGCCTAACAACAAATTGATCTTCCACCCCACACCCTTCACTTCCTATGGAAGCAAGTAGTGCAATCAATTCCTCTGCTGGATGGTGTTTGTAAGGTTAAAAGGGAGCTAATCATTCATCCCCTGGTGGGAGGAAGCAAACAGTCCTTCTCTCCCCCCACTTGAGCAGTGTTAGCACTTTGAGCAGGGAGCTGCACCACCTGGGTGAAGCAGGCAGTGCTCTGATTCCTTTAGCAGGTAGTGTCAGTGTGGTCCATTGGCAAACTGAGACCCACTCCCACACACTAGCAGTAAGACTTAATGAGGTAATGAGAGATGGAACTAGTCACCATTAGGCTTCACTCCCACTCCATGTCAATGAGGTTCAGTGAGACAGTGGAAGTTTCCCTTCCAAACCTCTCTGTCATCAACAAGGCTGAAAAAAGAGGAGCAAGACAGGACTAAAAATCACTTCACATTCCCCTTATCCCTAGTGTTATCAAGGCCCAGTGGGAGAAATAAAGACCCACATCAAATTGGTGGCAATGAGACTGAAACAGGACTAATTGGACCCCCTATTTTCCCTTCCCCTGTTAGCAGGGCCAGTGGGGAGTACTGGCTCCACTTCCGCCTGACATCAGTGAATAAAAATACAGTGGTGTGATTAGCATTCTTCTCTTCCTCCCTCTGCTATCAGCAATGTTCAGTAGGAACTTGAGACTTCACACTCACCTAGCACCAATAAGGAAAAATGAAATGGTGGTGAGAGGCAGGGTATGGGATAGTACAAGGTACATTGTTTCGCACATTTGTAATATATGTGGCTTCTTTTGCCACAGTCCACATTTTTTTCCTGAAAAATACCTGATGATATATAGAAGTGTGTGTATTTTGCACATATATTTATATATACACACATGCACATTCATTGAGGTCGTTCTACACTGTAAGATGTAAAGGTCTATGGGTTTTGATAAGTGAATATTGTCATGTATCTACCATGAATTACCATATAGCATAGTTCCACCTCTCTGCTCTGTGCTTTACCTATTAAAGCCCATCCCTTGCTCCATTAACAACTCATTTGTTTACTGTCTTTAGGTTTTCTTTCCCAGAATTTTATATAGAGAGTTATACAGCATGTAGCCTTTCCGATTGAGTTCTTTCATTTAGCAATATGCATTTAAGGTTTATTCATGCTTTTGAGTGACTTCAACAGTTATTACTTTTTATCACTGGATACTATTTCATTGTATGGATGCACCACATATTTTAATCCATTCACACATTGAGGAATATCTCAGTTGTTTACAGTCTTTGGTAATTATGAATAAAATTCTTATAAACCTGTACATATATATTTTTGTGCAGATCTAAGTTTTTCTACTCACTTGTGTAAATACCTAGGAGTGCAAGTGCTGGATTATATGGTAAAAGTATGTTTAATTTTGTACAAAACTTCCAAACTGTATTCATGGTGGCTGTACCATTTTGCATTCCCACCAAAAGTGAGTAAGAGTTTCGGTTGTTGGGCGGGTGCGGTGGCTCATGCCTGTAATCCCAGCACTTTGGAAGGTCGAGGCAGGCAGATCACAAGGTCAGGAGATTGAGACCATCCTGGCTAACATGGTGAAACCCTGTCTCTACTAAAAATACAAAAAAAATTAGCCAGGCATGGTGGCAGGCGCCTGGAGTCCCAGCTACTCAGGAGGCTGAGGGAGGATAATGGCTGAACCCGGGAGGCAGAGCTTGCAGTGAGCTAAGATCGCACCACTGCACTCCAGCCTGGGCGATAGAGACTCCATCTCAACAAAAAAAAAAAAAAAAAAAAAGAGGTTCGGTTGTTCTGTTTTCTCCCAAGCAATTAGAATTGCCAGGTTGTTTTGTGTGTCTGTGTTGATTTTTGTTTTGTGTTATGTCTGTGTGTTTGGCCATTCTAATAGGTGTTTAGAGGTATCTCATTATTGTTTTAATTTGCATCGCCCTATGACATGATATTGAGCATATTTTCATATTATGATTGAAATTTGTGTATCTTATTTGTTGCGGTGTCTGTTCAGATCTCTTTCCAATTTTTTAATTTGGTTGTTTGCTTTCTTGGTTGGGTCTTACAGTTATTTGAATGTTTTAATGCAAGCTCATTATCATAAAAGTGTTTTACAATTATTTTATCCCTGTTCAT
Organism: Homo sapiens; assembly: GCF_000001405.40. Lineage (NCBI taxonomy): Eukaryota > Metazoa > Chordata > Mammalia > Primates > Hominidae > Homo > Homo sapiens. The sequence continues at coordinate 38,299,801 of NC_000011.10, forward strand.
GTCTTATTTTACTTTTTTATAGTATCTTTCACAGAGCAGACACTTTTACTTTAAAGAACATCCAACTTATCTATTTTTTTAATATAATGGATCATACTTTTGATGTTGTATTTTAAAATCATCATCAAACCCAAGGTCACCTGGATTTTCCCCTTTGTTTTCTTCTAGATGTTTCACAGTTTTGCATATTACATTTAGGTCTATGATCCATGTTGAGTTGAATTTGTAAAAGGTCTAAAGTCTATGTCTAGGTCCTTTTTTTTTGCATATTGATATCAAATTCTAGCACCATTTGCTGAAAATATTTTTTCTGTTGTACTATCTTAGTGACTGTGAATAATAAGCTGACTGTATTTCTGCAGGTCTATTTCTGTGCTCTCTATTTGGTTTTATTAATATTTATGTCTTTGTTTTGACAATATAACACTGACTAGATTCATATGCCTTTATACCACATCTTCAAATTGGTAGTGTGTGTACTCTAACATTGTACTTCTTTGTTATTGTGTTATTTTAGGTTCTTTCCTTTTCAAATAAAGTTTGAAATGAGCTTATAAATATCAACAAAACATCTTGTTGATATTTTGAATTAGATTTTATTAAAATTGTAGATCAATTTTGGAAGCATGGGCATTTTGACAATATTGAGTCTTCTAATACATGACCTCAAATATCTCTTTTCTAATTTAGATCTTTAATGATATACATCCATGTTTTATAGTTTTCTGCATATAAACTCCACACATATTTTGTTAGATTTATACCCCAAAATTTCAATATTTGTTGTTGCAAATTGTATTGTTGGACAATTAAATTGCTTCTACATAGACAATAATGTTATCTGTAAAGAAATACTTTTTTCTCATGTTACCAATATATATACCTTTTATTTTCTTCTCTTGCGGACAAAATAGATCTTCCAGTACAATGTTGAATAAGAGTGGTGAGAGAAGATATTTTTAGAATTGAAGGAGCGCCAAATATCCAGTCTGCTACCAGTGTTATGTAAGCTGTTTTTTTAATAACCTTGAGGAATTTATCTTTGTTCCTAGTTGTTTTACCTTGAATTGAAATTGTCAGTTCTTTTCTGCATTAATCAATATGATCATGTGATTTTTTTTTCTTTTTAGGCCTTTGCTATGGTGAATTACATAATTAATTTTCAAATATTGAGCCAGATTTGCATACCTGGAATAAATTAATTTATTTTAAAGAATTGAAAACTAACTGCACATTCTCATATTCATACCTATTAAGGTTCATCTTACTGAAAGCCTAAGTCTTTAAAATATTATTATTATTCATATATTTCTTATTATCCAGTGCATGTCATGTTTTATACAGCTTCAGCTTCATGCGTATGCCTTCTATATTCTTTTAAGTTATATTGAGTATGATAGAGGCTAAGGAAATCTTGAATTAACAGAATTCTTTTTTTGGTGCATTTTCTGTCACTTATTATGTGTATGAAATTAGAGAAGAATGTTATTCCACTAAACTTCAATATATGGAAAAATGTATTTGGTAAATATGAAGGATTCTATTAATTGTAACTGCTAGTCCTAATTATTTTTATAAATCAGTTTTTAATTTTCTAATAATGCCTGAACATAACCTCCTACCTCATTTTTATCACCTTATTAACAATGATATCTGAATAAGACTTTACAATGCTTTGAAGTCACAATGCACTCGCTATGCAATTCCTTTGATCTCTCAATGAAGGATATAAAATGAATTTTACAAGATATATTCCTTATGAATTCTTACAAACCTTCGATCTCTCGTTTTCTGTTTAATGTTTTGGATTGTTGTTGTTGTTGTCACAAACCATCTCTTTAGTAATTTATGCCTACAATTAAAGTTAATAACTCATCCACCTAATAAGTTCAACATTTTCTTTTATAGTGGGAAGTTTTATATATTTATAATATCTTTTGAGTTTTCCTGCATTGCTTGTTTACATTTTGCTGAATCTGTTATAATGAATCAAGGATACTATTTCTGTAAAGATATTTTTGTTGTCAATGACATAGTAGTATATAAGAAGAGCTTTGTCAGAGGCTGAGCCAGAAATTTGTAGAATATTTCTCTCTTTCGAATGTTTCAATCCTTCTTCCAGAAGTTTCATTGTTTTTTTCACTAACATAATTTCCAAGTGATCATTAAAATTACCTGACAAGGGTACTAGGGTTTCTCACATTTTGCCTTTATTACTTTTCCAATTTTCTGTCCCTTGAGAAATCATATTAAGTAGTTTAATCAGTGCTGTTTTACTACTGGTTATAATCACCACAATAAAATCGCTCTTTATTTCAGATTCACTCCAAAAACTAACTAGATTTTTATTTTCCTTACTTCTTATTTTTACATCTTATAGAGGATGCTAGGTCTTTTGTTTCAATGCATGTAATTATTTATATCAAGAAACTTATTCAGATAACAATGGACTAGAACGGAATATGCTATTATCCCCACATATTACCGTTTAAGATATTTTGAAGAAAATATGCACACTCTCACAGACATTTACATTATCCATTGAAAGAGAGAGAGAGAGAGAGAGAGAGAGAGAGAGAGAGAGAGAGAGAGAGATTCTACCTTCTTATTCATTTCCTGCTGAAAGAATATCACTATTTTGATTTACTTTTTTGAGAGAAGAAACGTAATACTCTACAAATAGGAAAAGAAAGTGTTTCTACCTCCAGTATGATTTCACTGTTACTAGGCTTTTCTATAGATGTACTGTGTGAAATATTTAAGATTTGAAGTTTAAAATTTTATTTATTCTGCGACTGTTTTAAGCATAGACAAAGGATTGAAGCCATTTGAATGAAATTGTCTGTGTCTAATGCACTATATCTTTACTATAAAAGTCCCATTTTTGTTCACTTAATATGCCTAGCCTGTCACTAGGATGCACTTGGTATCTGTGAAATGCCATTTCTTGTCAATTTTGGCTTCATTGCCAGAGGAGAAATTACTATTTTCTTGTCTACAAGCCAGATGCTGTTTTGACATATTTTTAATGCAAATGCCCTTTATCTACTCCTATATATTTAAAAATAAGAAATTACAAAAAGAAATGTTCTCCATACATCCCACTCCATCAAACTTCCATTCCTAAGCTACCTAGTGTTCTCTCCTCTGCCAAAAGTTAGCCTTTAAAACTGAATTCCTGTTTCAACCAACCCACTCATACTGCATTCTCTCATTGTATGTTTGGCTTATTAATTCTTGTAAATTGGTGAAACCTGAAATTGTACCATAATTGCTCCACACTTTTTTCAATCCACTCCACTAACCTTTTCCTTATCTTACTTATCCTATCTGTCATCCTGGAGATAAACTCAGCACTTGAACATTTTCAGAATTTTCCCAGTCTCTTCTCCCTATTTTTCTCTGAAGGATGGCTACAACCTCTGAATTTCACCAGTAACTATAAGCTCATATATCTAAAGTCTCACGTTCAGATCTTAGATTACCTCTCTCTTTGTAAATTGTAGGGAAGAGTGCTGAGAGATTTGGGATAGTTGAGCATACTGAAATCCATTTTCATGGTCAGGAATATGAAGAGGTAAGAGAGGACTGGAAAACAACTAATATGGCCACATGTCTAGACAAATAGTAGGGATAAGGAGACTCTTATAAGACCCATAAAATTTTCTGTAGTGTCATTCTTCAACATTTTAAATTTCTTTATGTGTAAATTATACTAATCACAATCCTTTATTTTGACATAGTCCCATCAGTTTCTTCTTGGGCATGTTTTATTGTTGATTTTTATCCTTTCCTTTATTATTATTGTTTTTGACATCGTGTTGAGAGTGCCCAGGACCATCCCCATGTTTGATGATTTATTAGGAAGGTTCACAGGACTTAGCATACAGAGGTCCTCTTGAATAGGATTTGTAAAAGGATGAAAAACACAATCAGCAAAGAAGAAAGCCACATGGAGCGAGCTCCAGAAGAAACCAATTGCAAGCTTCCAAGGGTTGTCTCCTGTGATGTCGTGTAGGACATGCTTCATTCATCCAAATTCCAATTGTGACAATATGTGTGAAGTGTTGTCTACCACAGAAGCTCTATTTAGAGACTCAGTGCCTGGGGAACATTTTGGGGGCTTGTCAAGTAGGCACCCTCCACCTCACAGGTTTCAAAATCCAGATTCCCAGATGGAAGGCTGGTGTTCAGCAAAAACCACATTGAGGAGTCTAGACATAGTGTGCCACTCTCATCGCTTAGGGAAAGTATTATATCCGTGTTGGAAATTATTTAGAATTCATGTTCCCAAAATTCGGCAGAGGAAATTTTATGAGATTTTTTTGCCTGTTTGTTTTTCCAAACAAACAGAAATCTACCAAAGTTTATTTCAGAAAAGGAGAGTATGTTATTTTGAAACAAGCAAGGGCTTTGATGTCAGAATGACTTGATCTTGACTCCAAGGTTCTTCACTCCTTGTTTTGTGAAAATGAACAAGTTATTTCACTACCTTAACCCTGCTTTGAGCCCCAGTTTCATCATGTAAAATATATAATAAAATTCACACCTTATTATTTTGTGCAAGCATTAAATAAAAATAAATACGAGCAGTACAAAAGGAAAAGTTAAGTTTCCCTTTCTTTAATCTTCTACTTTGTTTCACTTCATTGTACTATTCTGGACATTTTTGTACCTAATTCTATTTCATAGTGAGAAAATGGGAAATAAAGAAAATCAAACAGAAAATTAAAAGAAACAGAATCAAATATCATTACCTTATAAAATGAATAATAGTAAAGCATATTTTAAAGACAGTATCTGATATGCAATTTTACAGAATATTAAAAATCATTATCACATTTACCCTGTCAGGACTGACACATCAGAAATAAAACCTTTGCCATTTATATCATTATTGAAGAATTTCAAGATAGTAATTAAACTTGAATTTCTAAATTTCTTAAAAAATAGTAAAGCCAGCTATTTAATACAATCACAATTTATTGAATACTTCACCAAAGAATATGTTTGGAGATCAGGAAATGAATAGAAAGATATTATAGGAAAACCTCAATAGTTAATAATTCACTCTTGCTCATTTTAAAGGCAACAAATCATGTGTTATTATGATAGCACTATTATAATTAAATCTAGAATTTTTATTTTATTTGAACAGGCCAAGTCCACTGTAGCTTTACTTTTCAGATGGTTGCTGTACATGAACTAAAGAGAAGCAAAACATGCAAAATTGCCATTGCCAAAAGGCAGTCCTTTGAGGGACCCATTTTGTTATTTAAATCTTGCTTAGTTTGCATCAATCTGATGAATTCACAGCCTGAGATATTTGGCTGGAGGCCACGTTAGATAATATTTCAAAATTCTTCCGTCCAAGTTCTTTCTTTAACCTATTTAGCAGCAAGAAACCCAAAATTGTCTGCCCTACATATAATTAGAGGTTTGATCTCTGCATGAGCTTTCTATTTTAATTTTTCTTCTATTGTAGATGTTTTCTTTGATAAGTTTGTTTGAAAATTGCCATTATGTGGGTACCTGGAATCTTTATTAAATTTGGAGAATTCATGAGGTTGCTGGGACTGTGCTTAATATTCTAGGGCAAATCAACCCATAAATAAATCAAAAGAGAACTAATTATTAAGAATGTATATTACAAGAATGTATATTACTTCTGCTGGCTATGAAAAGAAGAAAAATAATTCAAAAACAAATGTGTGTGTGTGTGTGTGTGTGTGTGTGTGTGTGTGTGTGTCCTGACCTTGGCCCTGCTGGTCTGTAATTTCCTTTCCTTATAAGTGAGTTATTGGGAATGATGTTGTAGTAGTCAGTTGCTAGGATGGCGCCCAATGGTCTCTCCTTCCTGGTATTCATACCTTCTGTATTCGCCTTCCGCATTGCGCTGACAACATAAGCCTGAAGTTAGGCCATCATTTACAAGATTAGCGCAATTTTAAGGTGCAGTTTTCATTACAAGCACGTGCTCACTTTCTCTCTCTTTTGGTCTTGCTATGGAATCACTTGCTCTGTGAGAGATTCATGTGGGAGGAATTGAAACCTCCTGCCAAAACCACATGCATGAACTTGGAAAAAGAACTTCAGGCCCCCCGTCATGTCTTTAAAGACTACTGTCCCTGTCAACAGCTTTTCTACAACCTAATGAAAAACACTAAGCTAAAAAAACAGCTAAGCTGTCCCTAGGTACCAGAAAAATGTGGAAAACCAAAAAAAAAGAAAAAAAAAAAAAAAAAAAAAACAAAGAAAGCTGATAATGAAACGCTCAAGGGTTTCTATTACGTATTTTTTACACAAGTGATCACAATGACAGATATGCATAAACATGTATTCTTGAGAGCCTGAGTGGTAGAAATATGTCCCCTGACACAAATAGGGAATTCTCTTTGGTTGTATATTTTACTTTTTATAGCACATGGGAAACTTTTATTGAACTTAATGATATATAATGATTGGATTTAACAAATGTGAATTATTTTGTCGTTAAATTACATGCTTTTTCTCCTTCCAAAATATAATTTAAATGTACATTTCCGAAGCTAGAACAAATGTTTATCCTTTTGCTTAGAACTGATGGATGCTGTACCTCAGATAGAAATTTTATGGTATAAAAGATTATAAGGTGAAATATTTGCCAGTATCCTAATACCCAAGTTTCACATCTCTGATCATTGCAGAGTATTCATTCTGACTCACAGCAACTCTGTAAAACTTTGTTTCCCCTTCAGTGTAGTTCAAAAAAATATGGCCTTATAGCTCTTTCTTTCTTTCTTTCCCTTTCTTTCCCTTCCTTCCTTCCTCTCTCTCTTTTCTTCTTTCTTTTCTTTCTCTTTTTTCTCTTTCGCACATACATATACATTCCCAAGTGTCAATGTTACATATTAAATATTTTTTACAAGCTTAAAATGTTAGCATTATAAATACAGAACAATGATTTTATTGATGGCAATTAAAAAAAAAACTAGCTAAGAAAATGACAGCTGAGGATTTTCTTAGGACTTTGTCTGTCCTGCTCAGAATTACTAATAAAACTTATTGTAGCACAAAGAAACACTTATCAGGCCTCAAAAATAGCAATTTGTGTTTAATGGGGCCTTTAGAATTCTAATACCAGGATTAGATTAAATTAATAGGGAAAGCTGTTCCAGGCACTTCAGTGACTATTAAATAGTTGGCAAATTTTGTTATGGATACCTTCAGGGAAACAGACAGGAATTTAAGGCCTGATTATAGAAAACATGCACAATCAAACAACTCTTGAATATTTGCTTGTAGCTCAAGAAGGACAATGGGCGATAATCAATCAAAGTAGCTCTGTCTTCGTAGTTCAAGATGAGGGCATTAAAACCAATATAAATGCAACCCAGGCTGCAATAAACCTCTTGAGGGTTATCATAATCATCAACTGGGTGTCTTTTAGGCCCGTCATAGATCCAGCAAAGGCAACCAAACCTTAGAGATCAGTAAGGTATAGCCTGGTAGTTTTATGACCAGAATTCTGCTTTCTGGCAATAAAGTGCTAATATAAAATTGTCTTCCAGATGTGCAGATTAAACCCTACCAGAGAGTATTACAAATTAATGTTACTAAACATAATATTGTGAATATACCATATATACAGCTATAATTGGCAGTGATACATGTGGATAATGGTGTTGGGGTGAGGAATTCCCCTCACAAAAATGGCCAGAGAATCAAAATTCCAAAGTACTAGTTACCTTGAATAATTACTCTTTCCTAAATTAAACTGACACTGATTATAAACTTTAACACACTTTTAGGATTCCATCAACTCATAAAACACATGAACTGTTTGTTTGGCTGATTAAGTCATGTATTACACAATCAATCAGTGTAACGACTGACACTATCCTGTCCTGTTGCAATACAGACATAAAGCCTTTGCTATTAAAATAGTTTCCAGAATGGATAGAACTTTTTCTTTCCAGTGTATTTTTCAGTATGTTTTGCTAATTGATTTCATTGCTCTACATCTGAATTTCTTACTTCCTTCTTCTGCTATGTTTCCTTCTGTGTCAGTGAATATTCTAGTAACGGTTTCAGAGGAGATTGTTCAGTTAATAATTTTCTTGGGCCTTACACAATTGAAAAAATCAATTTTTTTAGTTTCTCACACGTAGTTTATGATTTTACATAATTCTCTTGTTGAAACCATATGGAAAATGAACATATCATAAAAATACAATGCTATACATTTTTGTATAGAACCACTATACAGATAAAGAAAAAGAATATTTTCAGCATCCTATAACCTGCCTCATGCTTCCTTTGAGTTACAACAATACCTTGGGCAATCATTTTCTTGATATGTAATATAATACCATATGTTAGTTTTTAAAGTTTATACAAATAAAATGACAAATGGACTATTTTGTGTTTGGCTTTTCTAATTCAGTGGTATTGTTTCAGAAGTACCTGTAATTTTTCATTCTCAATGGTGAATAACATTTTATTATGTGAATATCTTACAATTACTTTATCCATTCTGATCTTGATGGATATTTGGTTACACTGCCATTTTGAAGCTTTCACAGTACTATAAGCATTTTTATAGATATTTTATGTACACATTTTATTGAGAAGATAGCTGGGAATAAAATTGTTCATGATGGTATGTGCATTTTTTCAGCTTTAGTAGACATTAGTAAACAGATTTCCAAGGCAAGTGTATCATTTTATGTTTCTATTTTTAACAAAGGGAAGTTCTCATTGCACCACATGTTTATCAGACTTGGGATAGTTGGTATTTTTTTTAATATATATTTTCATCTTAGATTTGAGGGGTACATGCGCTTGTTTGTTGGGTATTATATACATAATGATGGGGATTGGGCTTCTAGGGTATCCATCACCCAAATATTGGACTTCGCACCCAGAATGTAATTTTTTTTCAACCCTACCCCTAGGGTAGTCAGTCTTCTTAAATGTAGCCATTCTTCTGGATGTGAGGTGATGTTGCATTATGGCATTTATTTGCCTTTGCCTTTATTGATAACAAATACTATTGAAAACCTTTTCATATGTTTATTGGCTATCTTGATAAACTCTATTGTGAAGTGTCTTTTAAATAATTTTGTCCTTTGAAAATAGGTTGTATATCTTTTTTATTTGTAGGAATTCTTTATATTCTAAAAGTCCTACAATATTCTAAATATTCTAAATTTTGACCTTCATTATATTCTAAATATCAGTCCTTTGTTGCTTATGTGTAATACAGATATCAGCTCCCACTGTGCGGTTTCCCTTTACACTCTTTTAATGGTGTTTATTCTTAACTATAAATAAGTTTAATTTATCAAGGTTTCATTGGTCCTAATCAAGAAGGCTTTGACTACATTATCATGAAGACAATTTTCTTCTGTAAGTTTTACTGTTTTACTTTACCTTATTATTTAGATCTGCTATACATCTGTAATTGTTTTTAGCATGATGATAAGTATTAATATTATACATGTAACTATAGATATAGCTCTTATATATCACATCATGTATATTATATATAACTATATATGTACATGTGTGCATGCATAGATACATAGATGGCCAGCAAACCCAGTACTTTTTATTAAATAAACCATCCTTTCAATTGTACGATAATAAAACTTTTGCCCTACATTAGGTAATCATACATTTCTGTGTCTCTCTCCTAACTATTCTCATCTATTGGTCTACTTGTCTCTCCATGTGCCATTACCATATATTTATATTCATAGAGGAGGTATGCGATGCTGGCAGCTAATCTGATAGTCATATTTTTACTTTCTACTAAGGTGTTTCAGGACCTTCGGGGGCCTTCTCCACCCGAGGTAATAAATAGGACAGTATAAGTGCAATCTGGGCAATTATAACCTCTCTTCCAGAGAAAAGGACCAAGGGACTCTAACATGTTTTAGTCACCATAGAAACCTTTCTTCTTAGGTTCCTTTTATAAGAGATAAAATATCTTATTGTTTAAGGCTTTTAAAGTCATGTATTTAGTTATTTATAGATTTAAATATTTTAATTGATACTTATTATAAAAATAATTCATGTTCAATTCTCTCAGGATTTTGCAGAAATTGCTTTATTTTCTTCTTTAATTTGGTGAGGTAAATTTAAAAAGTATCAAGTCAATTTAATGCTTATTTATTTTAAGAAATGCTGTTTTAGTGTGGGTGTGAGTGTGGGTATAGGTCTCTTTTCTACTTCTGAATGGTTTGAATACTTTTTCTTATCTTTGATGTTGTAAAACTTAGCACTTAAGGGTCCATCTGATTTGGAAACTCCTAGCAGTTTTTCATTCTGGACAGTGTTCCTCCATTGTGGTCCCTTGTTAATAATTCTACTATACCTCACATAGTAATAGCAAGCTTGGTAAACTTAGGTTGTATAGACAGCTGAATAATGGCCACCCAAAGACAACGCAGCCTACCTCCCGGAACCTGCAAATGTTACCTTACAAGGACAAAAGGTCTTTGTAGATGCGACTAAATTAAGAATCTTGATAGAGCACTATTATTCTGAATGATCTGGTGGGCTCTAAGTGCAATCACATGTAAGGGAGAGGCAGGGAAAGATTTGCTATCGACAGAAATAAAGAAGACAGATACTCAGAGGAGAAAAGTGATGTGAGGGTGGAGCAGAAAGAGATTTCAAAATGCAGGTCTTGATCACAAGCCAAGGATGTTGGCAGTCACCAGAAGCTAGAAGAGGCAAAAAACAATGTTTTCATTTTCCTAGAGCCTCAGAAGGAGCGTGGCCTGACAACACCGTGATTTGGGCCTAGCAATGCTGATTTCAGACTTCTGCGCCCCAGAACAGTGAAATCATAAATATCTGTTGCCTTAAACAATGAAGTTTGTAGCAAGTTGTTATAGCAGCCACTGGACACTAATATATGTTCCTATTTGCTTTTTGAATTTACACCGTGAGCTATTAAGCACTTTTGTGCTTTTACTTTCCTGGTCTGTAACTTCTTCTGAAATACAATTCTGATTCTTGCCTTTTAGAGATTTTATGTGGTTTCGAATCAACCAAGTTTTCTTTCTCTGTCTTCTACCATTCTTACATTTTTATGCCTTTTAATGAATGTAATATGAGAGAGGGGATTTAGAAGGAGTGTAATATCATTGTCTATTTTCTTTTTCTACTATTTTTCTTCTAGTGTTTACATAGATGCACGAACAAAAGATATTCCCAGCTGGGCACAGTGGCTCACGCCTGTAATCCCAGCACTTTGGGAGGCTGAGGCGGGCGTGGAGGTCAGGAGATCGAGACCATCCTGGCCAACATGGTGAAACCCCGTCTCTACTAAAAATACAAAAATTAGCTGGGCATGGTGGCACGTGCCTGTAATCCTAGCTACTGGGGAGGTTGAGGCAGGAGAATCGCTTGAACCAGGGAGTTGGTGGTTGCAGTGAGCCAAGATCATGCCATTGCACTCCAGCCTGTGTGACAGAGCAAGACTCCATTTCAACAAAAAAAAGATATTCCCCATGGTATTAAGTTATTTTCTTTCTATTATTTTGACTGTCAAGTTCATGAGATACACATGTGTTTGCATGTGCATGGATGGGGTACATGTGCATATATGTGTATGATATTAACCTAAATATCATAAAGATTTTTTGATACAATTATATTTTATTTCCCATTTTTACCCCAAAAGAAGCTACAAAACTATTCTTGATCCCTGAACAGTAAGGCGAAAAGTATAGTGTCATTGGCCTGGTAACAAAGGAAATGTGAAAAGAAGATTCGGTTCAAGAACATTATTATTATTGTAACAAAAGTTACAACTGCAGCAACAGCAAAGTGTTTAAGTTTTATTTTGGTCAGACTATAGTATATGTGTGACACTATATTCTCCTTCACACATTGGTAACGTGGGTACTACTTGCCTATTTATAGATTATTAAACTGAGATTCAGAATCCTACCCAAGCTAACAAAATGGTGAAATATAAAAATTTAGGTTCATTCCTTTACATTTTATTTCCTCTCTTACTTTAGCATTTATTTAGAACCAAGAAGAACACACCCATAAAAACAAGGAAGACTTTCTAATTCCCTCCTTTCTATACATTTCTTTGGTTTAATATCTTAGGTTCACTTTCAGTTTTGATTTTCTCTTTTTTAGATATAAATCACATTAAACAAGTCATATCCCTGTGATTTACTTTGAGTATAAATTGGTAAAATGTAGCTTTTTCATTCTGGTTTCCTGAATTTCTTTTATTTAATAGCTAAGATTATTTTGGTTTAATAACTCTTGTTCTTACTAGGATCTAGCATTGTCCAAATATATTACAATTTCCTATTTATTAAAGAGAAGTGGGTAAATTTGTCTCTACATTCCCTCTTATTTTTCTGTACAAAATTCATTGAGACAAAGGTTGTTAATTAAAATACTGTCTCCAACAGCTGTTAGCTTCTGGGAGTTATACGCTAAATGTATTATTTTAGGAAAATTATGCATAATTGAAATATAGACTAACAACAGCAATTTTAAAATTAAATATGAAATATAGCTTTATTCACAGCTTGTGCACACATGTCACTTGGAAGTTAAACAGAATTTCATCAGTTCTTTCTTGTTTTTATCACTCTCATCTACTTTTAATGGTCCTAGATAATGAGAAGTTTCAAGCCTGAAGCATAAATGAGCCCCTATTTTATAAGGAGAGTAAGAATAAAAATAAGTTTTCTTCCCATATACTGTTTCAATATCTTATCCAAATTAATGGACAAGAATATCTAGATAAAGAATTTATTTTTTACTTTTCTCTACCATCAGTCTACCAACCATCTACGACCAATTATAGATGTAGATGATTATCAGGGAAGAAGAAACTTACAAAAAAGTTCTCATTTCCCAGGTCATAACATCCAGCACAGTCCTGTGTTCACTGTGAACCTGTGTAGTCCAATTATCTTAAGCAAGAGAATTGGTACAACTCTACATTAGCAATCCCATTGTAAGTACCATATACTTATCTTCATAGAGGAGGTATGCAATGATGGCAGCCAATAGTACTTCTACCATACAAGAAACAAGAATATTACTTCTACCAAACAAGAAACAACTATAATTTGAAATAGAAAGCAAAACATATGTGTGTGTGTGTGTGTGTGTGTGTGTATTTGTGTCTGTAAAATCAAACATCAGGAGGTTTCTGAGACATATTTTATTTACAGAATAAGCCCTACAGGTCCAAGGAATCATGAAAAGAACTATATAATATAAAACATCTAATAACAAATAGGTTTTATGGTTTATAAAACCTATAAGTAGGTTTTATATTAGAGCCTTTGGTGTAGATGAAGGAATTCGCCCCAAACCACAATGTTCTACTCCTGTTCCTATCCATCAGTTTCCTACTCTGTAAAACGAGTATACAAATATCACTTTACTCATAGAGTTTGTGGCTCATTTATCCATGCAAAATGCTTAAAAGAATGCTTGGAATCTATTATCATTTAATAATTATTATTGCTGTTATAATTATAGAGTTATTTCTTAAGAAGTAGATATTGATGCTTTAATTTTATTGATGAGACTCAGAGGTCTTCAGTGACTTACACAATGCCCCACAATGAAAAGATAGGAAAATAGTAATATACACTATTTTCCAGTCTGATATTAAATTTCCATTAATGTACTATACTGTTTCCTATGATATTAGGAAAGGGGTATACATATGCTATCGGCATGTATCCGTGGAATGCCAATATTCATTACTCCACATATGTTGGGCTATCTGCAAATCAGTTTTCTCCTGTGTAAAATGATGAATTGGAAAAATAAGTGACTTTTTTTTCTCTATGGCATGGAATAGTACTTTTCATTTATTCAAACAATTCTAACTAGTCTGTCAAAGTTCATTTTATATACACACTTTTAAGCAGCTTAAAACTTCCTTTATAAACCTCAGCAGTGAAAGTATTTTTTGCTAAAGGTCTTCACTTGATTATCTTTATACTGCCTTGAAACATTCTGTAGTAGTATGGAGAAGACAGAATATATAGCTTCTCTGGGAATCACTGAAGCAACTATAATTGATGTTCAAATTAGGTGATTTTTACTCATTCTATGTAAAGAAAGAAAAAAGTTAAGGAGAATTGTTGGTACTTGGAGTTATTTCTTTCTTGAGCTGAAAGAAGGGAGAAAAGATCCACATTCTAATTTTTTATAGAGAACTCAAATTAGGCTTAAAAAGAAAAGTGCTTCTTTTCTCTGTTGGCAGCTCCTTGATTTTGTTAAGTTGGCACTTGTTCTCTTTTTCCTATTAAGTCATTCATCAGTTGGTAAACTGGGGCTTACTACAGACATATCAAAGTGAGAGCAAAAACCTGAAGACATTATCCAGGAACCTGAACATAGCAATGGATCAAGCAACTTTGCAGAAACATATTCCCATGAGGCACAGAGGGGTCAATTAAATACCACCCCAGGTGGCCTTACAGTTCTGAATTTATTTTTCCTCTTTGACTCTTTTAAGTAATATTTAGGTACCTCAAAACACTCTGAGGTTGGGAACATACTTTTTTATTATCCCATTTTTAATTATGGAGAAAGAGAAAGATCAAACTTAACATTCACATAAAAATGGGAGCTGCGGTGGCTCACGCCTGTAATCCCAGAACTTTGGGAGGCCAAGGTGGGCAGATCACGAGGTCAGGAGTTCGAGACCAGCCTGACCGACATGGTGAAACCCCATCTGTACTAAAAATACAAAAATTAGCCAGGTGTGGTGGCACACGCCTGTAATCCCAGCTACTCCGGACGCTGAGGCAGGAGAATCGCTTGAACTCAGGAGGTGGAGGTTGCAGTGAGCCAAGACTGTGCCGCTGCACTCCAGCTTGGGCAACAGAGCAAGACTCCATCTTAAAAAAAAAAAAAAGGATCTACGGCAAAGAGGCATGGTTAGGTACATCCCTATAATATAAGTAAAGGTACTTCTCATAAAGGGGACTGGACAGCAGTCCTTATGTTTCACTAAAGCAAACTGCTATTAAGATAATCCATTTTCAAACTGTTAAATACAAATATAAAAGGTACAGTTCTAGTGGGCCATGAGGAGGGCTAGGGATGATACACAGAAAGCTTGAGAATACAGGTTCTAAAAAAAAGAAATTCTTTCATCCCTGGACAAAGAGGCAGAGCAAGATAGGTAAATAGAAGCCTCCAGTGATCATCCCTCCCCAGAGTAACACCAAATTGAACAAAAGTCCACAAAAACATACCTTTATGAGAAGGAAAAATCAGGTGAGGACTGAGAAGAGTAGGCACTGAAGAGAGTAGGAAAGACAGTTTTTAATCACCTATACTATCCCTCTCCCACACCCCAGCAGTGGTCACATGGCATGGAGATAAAATCTGTATGTATGAGGTAGAGACAGCACAGTGATTATGAAATCTTGCATTGGAACTCAGTACTGCCATGTCACAGTGGAAAGCAACACAGGGCAGAACTCAGCCTATACTCCCGGAGGGAGCATTTAGACAAGCCCTAGCCAGAGGTGAGTCATGTATCTCAGTGGTCACAACCTGAGTTTCAGTAAACCCAGCACTATGGGCTAAAGTGCTCTGGGATTCTAAATGAATTTGAAAGGCTGTCTAGGCCACAAGGATTGCAAGTCCAGGGCAAGTCCTGGTGCTGTACTGGGCTCAAAGCCAGTAAACTTAGGATTCACACAACCTAGTGAGACACCAGCTGGGGCAGCCAAGGAAGTGCTTGTGCCATTCCTCTTCAAACTCCATGCAGCACAGCTAGCAGCTCCAGTAGAGACTCCTTCTCTCTTCTTGAGCAGAGGAGAAGGAAGAGTAGAGAAAACTGTGTCTTACAACTTGAGTATCAGCTCAGTCACAGAAAAATAGGGTGCCAGGCAGAGTCCTGAGGTCCCCATTCTAGGCCCCAGTTCCCAGATGACATTTCTAGAGATATATTGGGCTAAAGAAAGTGCTCTTCCTTGAAGGGAAGGACTCAGTCCTGGAAGGATTTACTACCTGCTGACTAAAGAGCCCTTGGACCTGAATAATCAGCAGTGGTAGCCAGGTAGTACTTGCCACAGCATGGGGTGAGAATCAGTATTATGCTGGCTTCAGGTGTAACCCCACACATGCCAGCTATGGTGGCTATAGGGAGAGACTCCTCCTGTTTGAGGAAAGTAGATCTAAGAGTAAAAGGGACTTTGCTTTGCAGCTTCAGTACCAGTTCAGCTACAGTGGGGAAGAAAACCAAGTGGGATCCTGGAGTCCCCAGTCTGGGAATTGGGTCTGGATGTCTGGATGCCATTTCTAGACCTGCCCTGGGTCAGAGGCAAATCCACTTCCTGTAAGGAGAGACTCAGGACTGGCAGCATTCACCACATGCAAGCTGAGGTACTCTTAGACCATGTGTGAACATCAGCAGTAACCAGGTGATACTTGCCAAGAACCCAGGGTGGTGGTAGTCATGCTTAGAAACTCCTCTGCTTGAGGAAAGGGGAGGGAAGAGAGGAAAGAACTTTTACAGCTTGGTTGCCAGCTCAGCCACAGTAGAGTAGAGCACTAGGTAGATTTCTAAGGACGTGGCTCTAGGTTTTGGTTCCCAGATGGCATCTATGGACCTGCCCATTGCCACGGGGATTCACTTCCTTTAAAGGAAGGACACAAGTCTGGCTTCATTCACCACCTGTTGACTGTAGAGCCCTCAGGCCTTGAGTAAACATAGGCAGTAGCCAGGCAGTGGTCATGGTGGGCCTTTGATGAGACCCAGTACTGTGCTGGCTTCAGGTCTGACTGAGAACAGTCCCAGTGGTGGTGACCACAGGGGTGCCTGTGTTACCCCTCACCCAGCTCCAAGCAATTCAGCACAGAGAGATAAACTCTGTTTGTTTGGAGGAAAGTAAGGAAAAAGAACAAGAGTTCCTGCCTGGAAATCCAGGGAATTATCCCAGATCTTACCCAAGACCACCAAGGTGGTACCTCTACAAGTCTGCAAAAGCCACAGCGTTACTGAGATTGGGGTGCCTCCTAATGCAGATACAACTGCAGCAGTGAAAAACTCAGATCACAAAACCCAAGTCCCTTTGTGTACTTGGAAAGCCTTCCTCTGAAGAATGGGCACAAACAAGCCCAAAGTGTAAAGGCTAAAATAAATACCTTAATCTTCAGTGCTCAGACACCAATAAACATACACAAGCATCAAAACCGTTTAGGAAAACATGACCACATCATGAACTAAATAAGGTACAAGGAACCATTCCTGGAGAAAGAGGTATGTGACCTTTCAGACAGAGAATTCTAAACAGCTGTGTTGAGAAAGCTCAGTGAAATTCAAGATAACAGAATAGGAATTCAAAATCCTATCAGATAAGTTTAACAAAGAAATTGAAATAATTAAAAATAACCAAGCAGAAATTTTGGAGTTAAAAAATGCAATTAAAATACTAAAAAATGCATCAGAGTCTCTTAACAGCAGAATTGATCAAGGAGAAGAAAATTAGTCAGCATGAAGACAGGCTATTTGAAAATACATAGTCAAGGGATTAAAAAAAAGAATAAGAAAGAAAAAGCATGCCTATAAGATCTGGAAAACAGGCTCAAAAGGGCAAATCTAAGAGTAATTGGCCTTAACGAGGAGCTAGACAAAGAGATTAGGGTGGAAGGTTTATTCAAAGTTAGTTATATTAAGAGAGAACTTCCCAAATATTGAGAAAGATATCAATATCCAAGTATAAGAAGGCTATAGAACACCAAGTAGACTCAACCCAAATAAGATGACCTCAAGCCATTTAATAAGCAACTCCCAAAGTTCAAGGATAAAGAAATGATCCTAAAAGAAGCAAGATAAAAGAAAAAAATAACATAAAGGAGTACTAATATGTCCGGCAGCAGACTTCTCATTTGAAACCTTATAGGCCAGGGGAGAGTGGCATGAAATATTTAAAGTGTTGAGGGAAAAAAAATCCTTATACAATAGTATAATATAAAATAGTATACAATATACAATAGTATATCTGCAAAAATATTATTTTAACATAAAAGAGAAAAGAAGACTCCCAGACAAACGAAAGCTGAGATATTTTAATGCCATACCTGTCCTACAAGAAATGTTAAAGGGAGTTCTTCAATCTGAAAGAAAATAATGTTAATGAACAATAATGAAACATCTGAAGGTGCAAAACTCACTGGTAATAACAAATACACAGAAAAACAGAGAATATCAAAACACTGTAATTGTGGCATGTAAACTGCTCATATTTTGAGTAGAAAGTCTAATAGAGGAACCTACCAAAAATAACAGCTATAACAACTTTTTAAGACATAAACAGTAAAATAAGATATAAATAGAAACAACAAAAAGTTAAAAAGCAGGGGATGAAATTAAAGATTAGTTTGTATTAGTTTTCTCTTTGTTTACGCAATCAGTTTTAAGTTGTCATTGGTTTAAAATAACAGTTTATAAGATATTATTTGCAAGCCTCAACCTCAAATCAAAAACAGATACATGGAATAGTTTTAAAACGTTAAAACATACCACTAGAAAAAATCACCTTTACTATAATGAAGACAGAAAGGAATGAAAGAATGAAGAGAAAACCACCAAACCACCAGAAAACATAACAAAGTGGCAGGAGTAAGTCCTTACTTATTAATACGACATTGAATGTAAATGGACTAAACTCTCTTATCAAAAGACACAGAGTGGCTGAATGGATAAAATAAATAAGACCCAATAATCTGTTGCCTATAAGAAACAGGTTTCATTCGTAGATATAACATAGACTGAAAATAAAGGGATAAATAAAGATATTCTGTGCAAATGGAAACCAAAAAAGAGCAAGAATGGGTATACTTATATCAGAAAAATACTTTTCAAGCAAAAGAAAAAACTATAAAAAGAGACAAAAATTGTGATTATGTATTGAATGCCAAAGGGGTCAATTCTGCAAGAAAAATAATAATTGAAAATATATGCACCCCACATTGAGCACCCAGATATATAAAGCCAATATTTGTGGAGCTAAAGAGAGAGACAGACCACAGTGTAATAATACCTGGGAATTTTGTCACACCACTTTCAGCACTGGAAAAATCATCAAGACAGAAAATAAATAATGAAACACCAGATTTAATCTGCAATATAGACCAAAAGGACCTGATTGATATTTACAAAACAATTTATTCAATGGAAGCAGAATACACATTTTTTTCCTCAGTACATTAAACATTCTCAAAGGTAAGCCATACATTAGGCCATATAATTTCTTTAAAAAAATTTTTAAAAATGAAATTATATCAAGTATCATCTCTGATCACTATGGAATAAAACTAGGAATCAATAGCAAGAAGAATTTTGTAAATTATCAACCACATAGAAAATTAAACAATATTCTCTCTCTTAATGGCCAGTAGGTCAATGAAAAAGTTAAGAAGTAAATTTTCAAATTTCTTAAAACAAATGAAAATGGAAATAACATAACAAAGCCTACGAGATAAAGTGAACACAGTACTAACAGGGACATTTATAATTAGCAATAACTGCCTAAATCAAAAAAGTATAAAAACTTTAAACAAACAACCTAATGATGCATCTTGAATAACCAGAAAAGCAATAGCACACCAAACCCCAAATTAATAGAAGAAAAAAATTTATAAATATCTAAAGAAAAATAAAAAGAGAAGGTCCAAATAAGTAAAATCAGAGATGAAGAAGGAGACATTACAACCAATAACACAGAAATTCAAACAATCATTAGAGGCTACTATGAGCAACTAAATGACAATAAATTGGAAAACCTTGAATAAATGAAAAATTCCTGGATGCATACAACCTGACAAGAATTGAACCATGAAGAAATCCAACACCTGACTAGCCCAGTAACAAGTAATGAGATCAAAGCCACAATAAAAGTTTTCTAGCAAAGAAAAGCCAAGCACCCAATGGCTTCACTGTTGAATTTTACAAAATATTTCGATAAGAAATAATACCTCATACTCAAACTATAAAAAAATAGAGGAGGGAATACCTCCAAACTCATTCTGTAAAGCCAGCATTACCCTGATAACATAACCAGACAAGGAAACATCAAAACAACAACAACAAAACTAGAGGCCATTATCCATGATGAACATTGATGAAAACATTCTCAACAAAACAGAAGCAAACTGAATTCAACAACACATTAAAAAGATCATTAATCATGACCAAGTGAGATTTATGCCAGGCATGCAAGAATTGTTCAACATAGGCAAATCAATCAATATGATACATCATATCAACAGAGTGAAAGACAAAAACCATATGATCATTTCAATAGATGCTAAAAAACATTTGATAAAATTCGACATTCCTTCATGATAAAAAAAAAACCCTCAAAACACTAGGTATACAAGGAACCTACATCAACACAGTAAGAGCCATATACAACTTCCCCACAGCTAGTATGATGGCAAATGGGGACAAATTGAAAGCCTTTCCTCTAAGATCTGGAACGTGGAAAGGAGCCCACTTTTACCACTAGTATTCAACATTATACTGAAAGTCCTAGCTAGAACAGTCAGATAAGAGAAAGAAATTAAAGCACATTCAAATTGGAAAGGAATAAGTCAAATTATCCTTGTTTGCTGATGATATAATCTTAAATTTGGAAAAACCTGAAGATTCCACTAAATTATTAGAACAGATAAAAATTCAGTAAAGTTGCCGGATACAAAATTAACATACAAAAATGGGTAGGACTTCTATATGCCAAAAGCAAACAATCTGAAAAAGAATTCAAAAAAGTAATCCCATTTACAACAGCAACCAATAAAATTAAATGCCTGGGAATAACCTTAACCAAATAAGTAAAAAAAAATCTCTACAGTAAAACTGTAAAATATTAAAGCAAAAAATTGAAGAGGACACAAAAATATGGAAAGATATTCTATGTTAGTAGATTGGAAGAATCAATATGGTTAAAATGTCCTTACTATGCAAAGCAATCAACAGACTGACTATAATCCCTGTCAAAATACCATGACATTCTTCACAGAAATAGAAAAAATAATCCAAAAATTTATATGGAACCAAATGAGGCCCAGAGTAGCAAAAGCTATCCTTAGCAAATAACAAAACTGAGGAATCATGCTACCTGACTTCAAATTATGCTAGAGAACTATAGTAATCAAAACAGGATGACACTGGCATTAAAAACAGACACACAGAGCAATGGAACACAACTAAGAACACAGAAATAAATTTATATATCCACAGTGAACTCATTTTTAACAAAGGTGCTAAAAACATACCCTGGATAAAGAAAAGTCTCTTCAATAAATGATGCAGGGACAACCAGATATCCACATGAATAAAGAAATTGTTCCCCTATCTCTCACAGTATGCAAAACCAATCAAAATGGATTAAAGACTTAAATCTAAGACCTCAACTTTAATCTTTTAGTCAAAGGACTAAAAGAAAACATTGGAGAAACTCTCCAGGACATTAGTCTGAGACAAGATTTATTGAGTAATGCCCCACAATCACAAGTAACCAAAGCTACTTTAGACAAATGGAATCACATCAAGTTAAAAAGCTTCTTCACAGCAAAGGAAGCAATCAATAAAGTGAAGAGACAACCCACAGAATGGGAAAAAATATTTGCAAACTAGTCATCTGACATGTGATTAACAATCAGAATATATAAAGAGCTCAAACAACTCTATAGAAAAAAAATCTAATAATCTGAATAAAAAGTGGGCAAAAGATCTGAATGGACATTTCTCAAAATAAGACATACAAATGGCAAACACATATAAAAAGGTGCTCACCATCATTCATCATCAGAGAAATGCAAATTAAAACTACAATGAGATATTATCATATTCTAGTTCAAGTGGCTTTTATCCAAAAGACAGGCAATAATGAATGCTGGTAAGGATATGGAGAAAAGGGAAACCTTGTACAGTGTTCGCTGAAATGGAAATTAACATGACCATTATAGAGAACAGTTTGGAGGTTCCTCAAAAAACAAACAAAAAATAGAACTACCATATGATCCAGCAATTCCACTGCTAGGTATATACCCCAAATAAAGGAAATCAGCATATGAAAGAGATACCTGCACTCTCATGTTTATTGCAGAACTATTCACAACAGCCAAGCTTTGGAAGCAACTTAAGTGTTCTTCAGCAGATGAATGGATAAAGAAAATGTGGTACATATACACAATGGGGTACTATTCAACCATAAAAAGACTGAGATCTTATCATTTGCAACAACATGGATGAAACTGTAGGTCATTATGTTAAGCACAATAAGCCAGGCACAGAAAGACAAACTGCATGCTCTCACTTATTTGTAGGGGCAAACATTGAAACAGTTGAACTCAAGGAGATAGAGAGTAGAATGATAATTATCAGAGGCAGGGAAGGGTAGTTGAGCTGGGGGCAGTGGGGATGGTTAATGGGTACAAAACAGATGAAATGAATAAAGTCTAGTAGTTAATAATACAACAAGATGACTACAGTCAGTCAAATATAATTTATTGAAAATTTTAATATAACTAAATTTATAATTATATCTTTGGAACACAAAGGAGAAATGCTTGAGGTGATGGATACCCCTTTACCGTGATGTGATTATTATGCATCTTATGCTGCATCAAAACATCTCATATACCCTATAAATATATACACCTACTATGTACCCACCGAAATTAAAAATAAAAAAGGGAGAAATTCTTTTTATGGAAGTAGTAAATGTCAAATCCCTTTATCTCAGCATAAATTAGTACAAAAGCCATACCATCCTTATTTATCACTACCTTTCACAAAATACTTTTTTCTTTTTCCTGAGGCAAAAACAAAATGTCTTGTATATTAATGGATAGCTTGTGATATTTGGAAAGAAAAATATCAAAAAGCGATCTATACTTTGATTCTGGGCCTTACCTCATAAAACCATCACATGCCATATTCATTTGTTAAATAATTATTTTTGAACACCTAAATGCCAGGCAATGTTCTAGGGCCTACACATACATTATCAAATAAAACAAAACAAAACAACAGTCATACTAGAACTTACATATAGAGAGAGACAGACAATAAATAATGAACAAAATTCCATAGTATATTTATATAGGAAAATCCCCATAGAAAAAGTAGAATGGTGTGTGTGTGTGTGCGTGTGTGTGTGTGTGTGGTGGGAGGTGGTCAAGGTGGAAGCTGGAAAACTAGCTAAAAAGTTAGTGATAAAACATCAAAATAACAATTTCTTTTGAAAGATGAGCCACCGTGTGTTTTTTATACATTTGACATGGTATGGAAGAGAAAGAGAGATAACAAGAATAAGCTCAAGCTTTTTGATGGAAGCAAATAAAAGATTGAGTTCCCATTGGATAAACTGAGAAGGTTGAGGGTAGAGCAGGATTTGAAGAGGAAATTTAAGAGTTAAATTTTAAATGAGTTATGTTTGAAATATGTGTTAGATACCTAAGTGCAAAATCAAGTATGCAATTTAGTATATGACTTTGACATTTAAGAGGAGCTGAGATATATACTGAAGAGGTTTTCAAGATACTAATGGTATTTTATTATAGAATAGTCAATTAGCTCAATAGAAAAGTGAAGATAATATGCACAAGATAGCAGACACTAAGCTCTGGGTTTCTACAGCTTGAAGTGTTAGGGAGAAATTTGGGAACCAACTAAGGATACTGACCATAAGCTGTGAACAGGAGAAAAAACAAAAAGGCTGGTGACTTGCATGCCAAAGAAAGAATATCAAGGCCGAGAGAATGATCAATTATGTCAGATGATACTGATAGGTCATATAAACATCTAGAAAACTCTTCTGTGCAGGTTCAAAACAAACAAATAAAAATTGACCACCAAATGCTTCAACCAAAAGTACATATGGAAAATAAATACAGAAAAATAAAACTAATTGATTTCACAATATATGGATTATTTTTTCTTACTTTTCTTATTAAATGTTCTTCATTATCATTGTAACATTTTTGATAAAAAGAATGTGTTTACATTCTCCAATGGGCTCCAAGTTTACATGCCTATAATTATAGATGTACTTCTGTTCACAGTTTTAGAAAATTGCTTTCATACTTTCTTGCTTCAGTGGCTCTGTTTTCAAGATATTTTTGTAAATACTTTAACATCATCATCTCCTGGAAGCCCCCTTCATAGATCCAAAACCATAGAAACCTTTTTTTTCTCCAGGTATCATCCCAGGTGGCAGTGGCAGCATTTCTTCCCACAGTCTTAAAAGGATTTTTGTTTTTTTCCCCAGCAAACTCAACCATCTGTAAGGTACATGGATGTGCTTTGGTTAAGGAATAGGCTGAGTCAGACATCTAGTCAAGAGTGACTCAGCAAGTTTAGGGTGCAGGCACACACCTCCACTTGTTATATAACCTGTTTGTGTAAACTCATACTTGCCTTGGAGCCACTATTGTTTAAAAAGGTATAACTGCCCTGCTGATGCTGTTCACAGGGCTCAACATGTCTCAGGTGCCCCTGGTGCCCAAAGAGAGAATAATGCTACTGATTCCTGTAAGGGATAGCTGGTTGCCTTGGAGGTGGTCAGGGGGTAGCCAGAAACCAGCTTGCACCCAGAGGGAAAGAGTTAAGCTGCTGACCCTGTAGCTGGCCTTGCAGGCCAGGGAGTGCAGCTGCACCCATGGGGTGGCAGAAGCCGCAGAGCCAATTGCTGAGAGGAGCCTCAGAGCCTGAGCAGATAGCCAAGATAAAGGAAGACAGTGTAAGAAAGCTGCTGATGAGACAGCTGCTGAATAAAACCACATTTCACCTGCCTACAGTCCCCATGAGTGTTCTTTCAGCTATCTGCCACACACCTGCTCTGCTTGAACCTCAGCATGACCTCGAACCTGACCCTGAGCATGATATTTGGCATAGTCACGGACCTAACACCATGCTTATAAGGAAAAATACCTTCTTTGTCTCTAGAGGACCCTAATGCAGTGGCTACTTTTAATGAAATTAGAGTAATTTACTTTTCTAAAATAAATTACACAGGTGATTCTAGTGGGAGTTTCTATCTAAGGAAGATGAAGAGAAAAAAACTACCATCCCTACCTGCAATATAGATTAAACCACAGGAGTGCCTCCCCTCTACCAGTGCCTTACATTCTACTCATTTCATGTAGTCTCCATACTGTGACAAACAGGATATATTTTTCTTATTTATACCCGCATCTTGAGAGATGAGCAATCTGCCTTGAACATAGAAGGAGCTCAGTATCTGTTGAGTGTGGACTGAATCCATAAACATATTATATCTACAATGCTTTGAAGCCCATTCATTTGAAAGAGGCTTGTAGACATACCCAATTTCACACGTAGATCATAGAACTCACCTTGGGGATCTTGTCCAGGCCAGGGAAGAGGACTGCTGTCTCTGATGGTGAAGTTCTGGCATCAGAAATACTTTGGTGTGCCACTCTGGACTGCCCTTAAGTGAAAATGAACATTGCAAGTAAGCAGGTTTGGACTGTGCTGGCAGCGCTATGCAGGAAAAAATTACACAGCCTATTACTAACCAATTCCAGGTGCTTGATGAAGTTGTTTCAGTCTCTTTATTTCCTCAGCATCAGCACACAATAAACCCAGTATTACCCAACTTCAGAAATTCAGAGAATCAGTGTATGTTGCCTCTCAAATGCCTTTGAGAAAATTAGCAGTATTTTTTTCTCATCTACATGTAGGTATACCATTATTTGGAATGTACATGTAGATAGTCTGAGAACCTAGGCTTTGAGAATAAACATTCATTTGTAAGTGATAATTTTTTTCACTGATACAAATGTATATTATTTCAAGATTATAATGAAATCTGTACATGGAGCTATGGCTATTTAAGAAAAAAATTGTTAAAGCATTAAAATTTAAAAATTTATATTCAATGTGTAATTTACATAAAACAGAAAGAGGATACAAATTATATATATTGAATCATCATCCTTTTTGTTAGAAAAAAATTATCTACATTTAGAAAATAATGCTAACAGTAAATACAATAAAATAGATAAAGGTAAATACAATAAAATGTATATAAATAAAAATAAATACAATAACATATATAGACAAAATAACCATGGTTCTACAACTATTACTCAAGGTCATACATATGACCATATAAATATATATGAAATAATATGCATTTGAGCTCACTCAAGGCAGAGTACTCATCTCTTAAGATGAAAATATAAACAAAATATATATATCCTGTTTGTCACAGTATGGAGGCTGCATGACATGAGTAGAATGGGAGGCACTGGTAGAGGGGAGGCACTGCTATGGTTCAAGGTTATACATATGACCTTGAGTAATAGTTGTAGAACTGTAGTTATTTTGTCCATTTGTATTTATTTCATAATTATTCTATAATGAAAGTGAATTACCTTCAAAGTTACTACAAAATTGTCCTGAATTAAACATTTGAAGAATTTTCACTTTGAATTGTTGGAAATGTTACAAAGGTTTTACTAAGAATTTAGAATCTCTCTCCTTTTTTCTTCTAGCAGTAAGTTTTAAGGAAAGTAATTATATAGAAATAAAGAAAGCAATTATATGGATAAAAGAGACATCTTGTTTTCCCTTCTATCTCTGTAGAGTAGTTAAGCCTGAATAACAAAATGGCTTTATGAGTTAAGATGAAATTGCAAGAAACTTCAGAAATGCCTTTTCTCATTATCTCCCTCAGACATCTGTCAATATTTATCTGTTAATAGACTAAGCGATCAGCCTCAGTAAACAAAATATCAGATCCAAATATATATGTATATCATGTAAGCAATTAGAAGGATGAGTGGGGATAGCATATTAGCATGACAATTACATCAAATACCCTTATTTATATGGATCTTTCCTTCACAAAAGTTAATAGATGGTGAAACTAGCAGAACAGTAATGACATTCCTCAGGTTTTCTCCCCATTGTCAACCACTTCACTGATATTCATGAGAAGCCTAACTGGAAGCAAATTCAGAAATAAACAGACTCCAGTTTATAAAAGTAGGGCAAAAATCAAGGTCACTTGGGTAATCAAGTAAAACACAACTAGTACTCACATTGAAGCCACATGCTTTCTGTGACTTTGGTAAAGTCTGACTTTTCTTAGTTGACAGTAAAGTGGGATACAACTGCATACCGGCCTTCGACTTACTAGTTGTATAAACTTGAGGAGGTTACTTAAACTCTTTGAAGCATATGCAAAACATTTTCAGAATGAGATTATGAAATAAATTTCATATAACTTGATGATATGGTTTGGCTGTGTCACCACCCAAATCTCATTTTGAATTGTAGCTCCCATAATTCCCACATATTGTGGGAGGGACCTGTTGGCAGATAGTTGAATCATGGGGGCCATTTCTCCCATACTGTTCTGATAATAGTGAATAAGTCTCATGAGAGCTGATGATTTTATAAGGGGTTTCCCCTTTTGCTTGACTCTCATTCTTTCTTGCCTGCCACAATGTAAGACATGCCTTTAGCCTTCTGCCATGATTGTGAGGCCTCCCCAGCCACGTGGAACTGTGAGTCCACTAAACCTCATTTTCTTTATAAATTACTCAATCTCAGGCATGTCTTTATCAGCAGCATGAAAACAGACTAATACACTTGGTGTGATAATTTTGAGAAAAAATGTGTAAATTACTCAGTACAATGTCTAACATTAAATAGGTTTTCAAGGCTTATTACTTAGATCACTTAAGAATATTAAGAGAAACTTATATAATGCAAACAAAATATACTTAGTAAATGATCAGTTCCTTAAAAGCAATAGTCCTTCATCTATTCTGTAAGACGATGATGATAATTTAATGAAAATCTGAAATAGTCTCAGCATTTTAAACAAACCTATAGTTACATGCAGCTGTGCATTTGAGTATGTTCATATTAGCCCTGGCTCTACTTTTGAAAGATGCAGTTTCTGAGATGTTTTTCCTTCTCTAGGCACGTGGTAAAATGGTGGTTAAAAATGCAAAGTACAAAATGCAGGAAAATACAGAAAATAGAGGATGATTTCACAGTAAAAAATTGTTATAAAATTCTATTCATCAGCTCTGCTACTTTGAATATCCACACCTTATCTTAAAATTGGTGATAATTATAACAACTTCACATGGTTTTTGACAATATTTAGTGAGTTAATACATAGGACAGGTACCTGTCACACAGTAGGTTATTAATAACTCAGCTCCCTACTAATACTCTACCTACCTTTTGCACACACACAAAAAACAAAACTTCAAATTAAAATTGTCTTCAGCAACTAGCTCTAGCCCAGGTTAATGCAATATTATAGATGAGAAAAACAGTTGATCATACATGGTAATTTGTGTGTGAAAATTTAATAAACCCCATCTGAAAAATGTCTGAAGTGCAACATGGAAGAAAGATTTGGTAGAATATTTATTATTTCTGGTAATTTAAATGTATATTATTATAAGCTAAGGATTTAGGGCAATGCAAACAAAATGTAACAATTCGTGAAGTATTGATAAACTATTAAATATTTTATGTTTTAATGACTTTACATCAACCAGTCATTGCTTATATCATGCAACATATAAGTATAGAATACTTCAGTAAATGTGAATTATATTATACTAAATTCAAGACCATTTTGTTGGAAAACTGGTATAAAGTTTTTCCTGTAAAGAAAAATATCAGTTCTATCTATATAATTCTTTTTACAAGCTACAGCAAAAACTTTTTAGATTTTTAAAGATGAAGCTTCTTTCTAAAATACTAGAAAATAAAATGGTTAATACAGGCAAAAACGACTAAATTCAGTATCATCATAAACAAAACAAAAATGCTTGGAATTTGTGCTTGTTGCTTTGGTATCATTAATTGCATGAAAAATGACAGCTTCTTTCAATGTAAATGAAAGTATAGAGGTGGCTATCCTTAGAGTACATACATGATTATGAACTTGCATTCTAAGATCTGAGATCAAATTTTAACCCCTATGTTATTTCTGCATCTGATTTCTTTGTGCTGTCTCAAATATAAAATGAAGCTCTTTTCCAGATCCCATTATTCTGAATCCTCACAGGAGTCAGGGATTAGCAGTCACATAAAACCAAATTTCTGATAGTTACTCTCATGTATAAAACTACAGCACAGATTTGAATTGTAAATTCTTCATGGACATGTCATAAAATTGTGGTAAAACTGTATAATGTAGTTTTGTTACATGTACAAGTTATCATGATATATATCAGATTGTTTAATGTATTATAGACTAAGAAAAATAAGAAACTTAGCATCTAATCAGTAGTAGAATTTAATTACAAAATCAGATTAACAACACATTCATGAATCACATTTAATCACTGAATTTTGATATCAGATTATAAGTATTGATTAATATGCATTTTAATAACTTGGGAATCATTTTAAGACACAGATTTTCATTCAGTAGTTCTGGGATCCACAACCTAGCAGAAACCTAGGTAATGCCTAAGTTGTTGGCCTGAGTACACACTTTAAATCTGATGATTCTAACCTACTGCTATCAATAGCACTCTCTGTCATGATGAAACTATTCTATATCTGTACTGTTCAATAGGATGCCAGTAGCCACATATGGCTATTAAGCTTTTGAAAATGTCTAGTGTAAATGAATGACTGAATTTTAATTTAATTCATTTTAAATTTAAATTTAAATAGCCTAGCCATGTGAGACTAGTGGTTACTGGTTATTGGAAAAGACAGGTCTGGAGGATATAAACAATTTATCTTGATGATATGGGAAGATACTTAAGGCAAAAAAAAAACTTCCCAAAAAGAAACTCATAGTAATAAATATTGACTTATTTCATGTTAATAAGTGTTTATCAATTCCTTCAAATGCGTCACAGTTACACTAACCATAACTGTATGACATTATAAATCCACATAGAATAATAATAATTAGCATCAATGGTTTCAAATCACTGCTGTGCCACTTACTAGCTGTGATATCTTGAGTAAGTATTTGCCCACTTTGTGCTCCAGCTTCCTCATGTTTAAAAGGGGATAATAATAGTAATATTATTTTAAGAGTTAAATTAGTTGCTATTTGTAAAGCATTGCCACAGTGTCTAACACAAGCCTACATATCATTTTTAATAAATTTTAGCCAACATTTTGCACGCAAAAATTACTTTGAATGATTACTCTGAATTTCAAGAACTAATTTGGCATAATTCACACATAGTAAAATTCATAGATCTTAAGTGAATTGTTAGATAAGTTTTAACAGATACATCACTGCAGAAAGTTCCTTAATCCCTTTCCTCAGATTAAACCACCCAGCAAACACAGCCTTTTTATTACCAGAGATTAGTTTTGTCTGTTCCAGAACTACATATAAATGCAGTCATACATATTCATTCTTTCTTCTTTCCTTCCAAAGAATATTTTTAAGTTTCATCTATTGCTCTGTACTCTATTGTATAACTCTATTCTACTGTAAACTTTTTTATCCATTCTCCTGTTGAGCCGTTTTGGTTAACAATAAATAAACCTGCTGTAACCATTTTGGTACAAGCATTTTGTAAACATCTATTTTTATTTCTTTTGGATAAATACCTAGGAGAAGAATCACTGGGTTACAGGAAAGGTATATGTTTAACTTTTTAAGATATGCTCAAAAAGTTTTATCAATTTGTTGGGAGAATATTTGCCAGAGGCCTGTCACATTTTGGAATGTTTGGGAGCAGAGGTACTGACTGCTTTTGTCCTGGACTATCTTTTTAATGTATATTGAAAAACCTTGGGAATTAGAGATAGTGTACCTCAGGAGCAAAGGGCAGATTTGCTTCCTGTCCATATAATAAAAAAAAATGTTTCCTTCCAGGGCAAACCAACTGTTCATTATTTAAAATTCAGTTTCCCTAACCTCAAAGTTCTTGTCTTCTAACGGATTCCACTGCCTGTACAAGGATCAGCTGACCATATTTTCACCACCCTGTGGAAAGTGTGGCTCAGCGGTTCTGCACAACTGCTGGCCTCTCATGGCTGCTGATCTTGCTGTGAATAATCACTTGTCCTTTGTCTCTGACCCAGGAATCTTTTGCTTTCTTTCTAGAATCTGTAAAACTATGGCAGGCTTGGTTGTTACTTTGCAAGTCGAGTAAAATATCAAATCTTTCACAGTTTTTGATAGTTTTGTAACAGGGATAGATGTTAACAGACACACAGAATGCTAGAAAAGGAAAGATGAAGGCCTAGATTCTTTTATGTGATTTCAGAGAAGTGCACCAGAATACCAGTAACATGTTGATCAAATCGTATGGTTAAAAATGTGCTTACAAGGAGACACTAGTGAGGTGCTTGCAGCTGAGTACCAGAAAGGAGGTCTGAAGACAATTGTCTAAATGGTGCCCTGACTGTGCTAACTCTACTTTGGGCAGGGAGATTTCCTCACTGATCTGGTAATCATCCTTGGGTTTATCTCGTTATTATAATTAGTACAAAGATTTGATTAGATTGGCAGATACTTCTACATCCCCCACCACATTTTACACCATATTTACAAAAACACACAGCTACATTGTGACAGCATTTTTCACAATTGCTATGAACATAAATTGGGCCCCAATTGTTAATTTTTTGTCAGGTTGCTTGAAGATGAAGAGATGGAAGTATATGATGCTTGATAAGAAAGAATAGTAAGAACTCAGCCTCTTTTGCAATCTATCATGCCAACCTGAGATGCATTTGAACAAGAAACTAAAAGGTTGCAGTGTTACGTTTTTGTTTTTCTGTTATTGTGCTTTGTTTTTGCAGTGGGTCCTGGGTGCCATAAGGAAGCTTTGACCCACTCAAAGAGAATTGTCTCCCTGAGAGAAAAGAAAAAAAAAAAGCATTTTGAGAAAACAATAAATCTAGTATGCAAGCTTATACTGCCCTAGATTGCTAGGCTTATAAAGCCGATAAGGTGACCAACTAGCAAATGCGCCAGTTTTATGTTATCTGTGATTCCACTTCTCATATACTATTTATGTCGATGTTTTGCGTGATTGTACTATGAATGCTGATATGGTTTGGCTGTGTCCCCACCCAAATCTCACCTTGAATTGTCATAATCCCCATGTGTCAAGGGCTGGGCAAGGTAGAAATAATTGAATCATGGGGGTGGTTTCCTGCATACTGTTCTCGTGGTAGTGAAAAAGTCTCAGGAGATCTGATGGTTTTATAAGGGGCTTTTCCCCGTTTTCCTGAGGCCTCCCCAGCCATGCAGAACTGTGAATCAATCAAACCTCTTTTCTTTATAAATTACCCAGTCTTGGGCAGTCCTTTATAGCAGCATGAAAACAGACTAATACAAATGCTTATGGGTAAAAGAGCGATTTGTTTACTCAGTGACCATGGCATGTAGAGAACTGCTGATAAAACATGTAAGTCACTCCTCAACCTGTCTCACTGTCCTCATGGAGGAGGTCCAACAGAAACAACATAGTATCTTAAGAAGAGAATGGGAAATCATAGCCTTGCTTAGGAACTTAACCACATCACAGAGAGTATGAAATGCAATATCTCAATACAACCATATACGGTCAGTTGTGAAGATGAAGGGAGCTGGAGTTTCACAGTACAAAACTAATTGAATTCCGTTTTTGCACCCATAGTACTAGTTGTTGCAAATATTGAGACTGTGAAGATACTGCAATATAACTGAATTTGTTGCACAAACTGGTAGCATTTTGTATGCTGTTTCAGACACTGTCAGCTCTTTCTTTTCTATCCCAAAGGCACCTAAGAACCAAGACCAATTTGCATTCATTTGACAAAGCCTCTAATATACATTTGAAATATTCTCACAGAGGTATCTAAACTCATGCCATTTGCCACCTGTGTCTGGGTCAGGATTTGGCATGAATGTCTACAGTTATGATGCCCAAAATTTTCAACTACACAGTATAAATGATGTCCTGTTGGTTGACAAGTTGACAGTCTCATTCTCAAAGGTCCCGACTGTGGTGATATATTTCCTCCATCAGTAGGAGTGGTTAATGAACCCTGACAATTTTCAGGAGTCTACTCACCAAGTAAATTTTCTTGAGACTATGTGGATGGCTTCAAAACTGTTAGTTCCTCTGGCATTCAAAGAAAATTGCTCTATCCTGTTCCCACAACACTACCAAAAGGAGACCCAGCACTTTGTTAACACTTTTAGGTTTTGGAGACAGTTTGTGACTCACTTGGGCATTCTATAATATTTGGTCTCTCATATTGGCTAAACTGCAAATTAGCATCCTTTGATTGGAGACCAAATCACAGGTTACATTGTAAACTGCTTAATGAACTGCAGCATGCTTTTTACCTTTGGATCCCCACAACCCCAATTACTACTTCGAGTAATATGTTTTCATGACTGATGTGGAGCCTCAGGCAATGGATGTCAGCTTCTATCCTGCCTTGTCTCCACCGCGAGCTTTTGACTCATCCCCTTCATGACATGGCTACAAGGTACATCCCCAGAAAACAGTTATTAGATAGTTACTATGCTCTTGTTAGAAGGAATGTCTGTCCCAAGAGGGCCCGTGCCTCTGGCCTGATATTCCCATTTTGGGGTGGCTCAACTCAGACTTACTGACTATCAAAATGGGAAGGGCCCATCGAAATGCACTTGTATACTGAAAATGGCATATTTGAGAGCATAGCTGGCCAGATTTTCCTAAATGCCTAGTCCTGTTTTACTGATAGTTTATCTAAACTGAAATGCAATGGTATCCACTAGGCTGTTGCATCTGTTCAAACCCAGCACCAGCTATGCAGAATTGAAAATAATGGACATTGTTGCTCTGCTCATTGGGCAGAACTCTTAAGTTGTCCTTATGGCACTGGCCAACACTCCCCTTGATGAATTTTACTATATTTTTACTGAATATTGGAGTACTGCCAATTGCCTAGCTGTTCAGTTTACTACTTGGAAAACTACATTAACAAGATTAAAGTCACCATTGTTTATGTGTCCTCATCTTTTCTAATTATTATAATATTTAATCATGATAATTTTATCATTATTGTTTTGACATTTTTTCCTTTGGTTAATGCTTTTTGTGGTTTCTTTAAGAAATTTTTGCTTACCCTAAAATTGTAGTGCTATTATACTGTTTGCTGCTAGAAGCCACATAGCTTTAGCTTTTATGTTTATGTCCATAATGAATCTCAAAATAACTCTCTTAAAATGTAAGATAGGAAAATAGGGGTTCATTTTTTATAATATTGCATTGTGTCAATTATATTCATTGAAAATACTTTCCTTCCCCCATGAATTGCATATATGACCCTATTAAAAACCAATACTGTATATGAGGAATGGCTAATTTTTTAAAAAATATATTTTTATGTTTTTGTAAATAGGATTTCTTAATCAAGGCAGGAAAAAAAAGCTAAACACAAGAAGAAAATATTGGCATAGTTTTAAAAACAAACTTTAAAACTTCAATTAATCAAAAGTGCATTAAAGAAAAACCAAGGTATACATGCAACAGATAGCACAATGAATGGAATCATACCTCACGTCTCACTACTAATATTGAATGTAAATTGCCTAAATGCAAACGGTCACCAAAAGCAAGCAGTAGTAGCTATTCTTATGTCAGACAAAACAAACTTTAAAGCAATAGCAGTTAAAAGAGACAAAGAGGGACATATAAATAATGTCCCTCTTTATATAAAAAAATTTATTTATTTAATCTCCCTCTTTATATATAAAAGGCCTTGTCCAACAGGAAAATATCACAATCCTAAACATATATGCACCTAACACTGGTGCTCCCAAATTTATAAAATAATTACTAATAGACCTAAGAAATGAGACAGACAGCAACACAATAATAGTCGGGGACATCAATACTCCACTGACAGCGCTAGACAACTCATCAAGACAGAAAGTCGAAAAGACAATGAATTTAAACTATACCTTCAAACAAATGGACTTAATAGATATATAGAGAACATCTCATTCAACAACTGCAGAATACACATTCTATTCAACAGTGCATGGAACTTTCTCCAAGATAGACCATATGATAGGCCATCAAGCAAGCAAATCACATAAGAGTACATAAATATTTTTAAAGCAGATCCAAGAAATATATGTGTGTGGTAAAAATACATTAACCAGTAAGAGAATGATAAATAAATGAGGAACTCATGTTACCACTTGGTGGAGGAAGGCAGATAAGAAAATGGAGATATACATGTCTAGATGCAAGTTATTTATAATGGGTTAGTTTGAGGAATAATAATTTCAACACTACTCATTATAATATTTAAAATAATTATGTGAATATATATTTAATACATAAACATTTGAAAATCTAAACATAAAAATAAAAAGATAAATGCAAAATTTAATTATGATACTGCATTATTACCAAAGGATAACTGAGTTCTGTGTATCTGATCCCCTGTCAAAAAGAAACAACAGGCAAAAAAAAAAAACACAATAAAAGTATGTTTTGATCACCAAGGTTGAAGCTACTGTGAAAGCAAAAGTCTACACCTTGTATTAGTTTTTCTACTCTTCGTTGTTGAAATACTTAAGGCAATAATAAATGACTTGCATGTTGAACATCAGTAAAAACATGGCAGCTAAGTTTCCGCAACTAATATTTAAAGCAGCACAAATGGCCAAGGCTTTGTGTTTGCACTTCTGTGTAGGTCATCTCTTCTATGAGCATACTCTGCAGAATGGCCAAGATTAAGAGTGAATTATTGTTTTGGCTTTTAATTTTCACTTTTTATTTATTTTACAAGAGTGAATTACACAATTTGACAACTTGTATTTTTATTTTTTTAATTTTTTAATTAATACATAATCATACATATTTATGGGGTACATATGTTATTCTGATAGCTGCATACAATGTGTAATGATCAAACCAGAGTATTTTGATATGTATTGTCTCAAATACCTATCATTTCTTTGTAAGGGAACATTTCAAATCTTTTCTTCTAACTATTATGAAATATACAATATATTGTTAACTATAATCAGTCTACTCTGCTATCGAAAGCTATGACTTATTCTTTCTTTGTAAATATATGTTTGTACCCATTAACTAACCTCTCTTTATCCCCTCTCCAACCTTCCCAGGCACTGGTAACTACAATTCTATTATCTACCTCCATGAGATCAACTTTTTCTGCTCACCCATATGAAAAAAAATATAAAAAATATGTTTATTAGTCAGAGTGTGCTCTCTTTAATCCTGGCTGTCTGAACACCATGCATCTCCACGCATTCTGCACAAATAATTTTAGACACTGGTAAGTCATAATTATACTCTTAGATCTCAAGCTTGTTGAGGATGTCATTGCTTTTGACATGTAAAAAGAGTAATGGCACCAGGGAAGATTATAGAAACATAAAAGTAGATGCTTTGTGTTGCTTCTATCTATTTGTGACAAATCCTGGCTAGTAAATAACATGAAAAAAGATGAATTTCCAAATAGATAATGACAACTTGATCAAAGGAAGAAAAAAAATGAGTCATACACAACAGGTTTAATCAGGTTAATTAGAATCTGGGTTGCATTTTGGACCTGGGAATACTTATCAACAGGCTGTCATTGGAAGGATTATCTTCATTTAGTCTAAGGAGCATGGCAGGTGTGTAGCATTTGGATATAATGTCTCGCACTAGCTCTCTGGGAAGAAGCTCTCTCACAGAGTTGCAATTTAGCAGGCTGCCTCAACATAAACTGAACAATTCCTGGTGCTCTCGCTGTTATAATGTCTGGAAGCATCATTGACTGGTGGAAATGTTCATGGGGTTACAAAGGAAGGAAGAGAGGAGGGGATAGAAAAACAAAGAGAAAACGGGAAAAATAATGGTAAGGAGGACATGTAGAGGAGGAGAATGAGAGAGCAAAGGAGGGGAGTTACAAGAGGAAGGAGAAGTGGCCAAAAGAAGACAAGAAAGATATTGTGGAAGAACTTCAAGCATCCAGAATCACAATAAATTTATAAATACACAGCAAATGACTTTCAAATAAAACACTAACCTCACTTTGGGGAATGCAATCTGGTAAGACAGTTTTCTCTTGATTTATCTTTTATTTAAAATGGTCCCTCGGTTTCTTTTTCTTTCTTCGTCCTCCTCTTCCTTTACTCAGTTCTCCAATCCTCCTCCTTCTTCATCTTAATACATGCACTATTAGAAATGTCAGGCCGGGCGCCGTGGCTCACGCCTGTAATCCCAGCACTTTGGGAGGCCGAGGCGGGCGGGTCACGAGGTCAGGAGATAGAGACCATCCTGGCTAACACGGTGAAACCCCGTGTCCACTAAAAATACAAAAAATTAGCCGGGCGTGGCGGCGGGCGCCTGTAGTCCCAGCTACAGCTACTCGGGAGGCTGAGGCAGGAGAATGGCGTCAACCCGGGAGGCGGAGCTTGCAGTGAGCGGAAATCGCGCCACTGCACTCCAGCCTGGGAGACAGGGAGACTCCGCCTCAAAAAAAAAAAAAAAAAAAAAAAAAAAAAGTCAGTGAATCCAAAACACTTCCTTAAGCTGCAAGAAGTACACATTTTAACTCAGCCATAAACAAATGACAGGGAAATTGAATGACATGATATTACTAATTTCTTTGCAAATATCATACATTCCTTGAAGGATAGAAGCTGGTTCAATGGCTTGTATCTGCCTCACCTGAGGAGGCATTAGTGGTTGTAAGGATAACAAGAGAGGCATGTGACATGTAATTAGAAAAAAGTAACCAAAAAATTTCAGTTGCATAGAGCACAAAGGAAGAAACAAAAAACTGTTTTTGCCTTCATAGGCACTAAAGGTATTTTTTAATTGCTGTGTATTTATGATATAGTTTGTTCATTTCTATTTTTTATTTGGTTAGACATTTAAATGCTCATCCTATTCCACTAATACAAAACACACTCAACATACACACATGCATATATGCAATCCTGCTAGATAAGAGGGGACATGGAGAAAAGTTTTATTTCTTACTTATCTTCTAGTTTTCTATTTACTAGAACATAATAGATTATATGCACATATTAGATTCCAAAAATTAGACGTATAAACCTTAAAAACCTGTATACCTCCAAAATAACTTAGTTTACTATAAAATTAATATTTTGGACTAAAATGTAAAATCTTAGACAATAATATTGTCTGAAAGAGACAATAGATGCCTACTTTTAATTAAAAGTCAATTTTTCAGCAATCTCATTACTGGGTATATACCCAAAGGAATATAAATCGTTCTATTACAAAGCTACTTGCACACATATGTTCACTGCAGCACTATTCACAATAGCAAAGACATGAAATCAACCCAAATGCCCGTCAATGGTAAACTGTATAAAGAAAATGTGGTATATATACACCATGGAATACTATGCAGCCATAAAAAGGAATGAGATCACGTCCCTTGCAGGGACATGGGCGAAGCTGGAAGCCATTATTCTCAGCAAACTAATGCAGGAACAGAAAAGCAGATACCACATGCTTTCACTTAGAAGCTGAAGGATGAGAACACATGGACACAGGGAGGGGAACAACACACACTGGGGCCTGTTGGGGAGGGCAGGGTGGGGAAGAACACTGGGGAAAAGACCTAATGCATGCCGGTCTTAATACCTAGATGATGGGTTGATAGATGCAGCAAACCACCATGGCACATGTTTACTTATGTAACAATCCTGCACATCCTGCACATGTATCCTGGAACATTGAAGAAAAAGTCAATTGCTATAAAATAATACAAATTGTTCTATTACTATTCATCTAGCACTGCAAGTCTTTTGACAAAACTTCAAGCACCTCTCCTTCCTTTCCAGTTCTCTGATTTATGAAGACATTCTCTCTCAATAATTAAAAAATGTTTTAAGTATTATTTTCTGATATTGATAATTTTATTTCAAATATGATACTTAAAATATATTTATTGATTTTAAAAAATTATATTTTTTACTTTACTAACTTTTTATAATTTAGTTCTTCTATTAATACTTTCATATTTATATCTATACCCTCAATCATTCCCATATGCTAATATTACACATTAATATTTTGTTACAAAATTCAGTAATTTTTAAAATTATAGAATGTATTAAGTATTGTGTTATATTTATTAAAGCAAGCATTTACAAGTGAGCTGCATAATACATTCTGAGTATGTCATTTGCTTAAGTCTCCACTTATTTAATATTTTACTTTTGTTATTCTCACATTTTTTTTAGATTTCATCAGCAAATTGTCTCTAAACTCTTCACTACATCTCTAAACAGTTTCATATTGTGATCATAACATTTAATAGATTGCTTCCTATTTATTTCATTGATACCATTCCTCATACAGCTGACAATCCTCCTGCTTCAATCTCAACATTCAGCCAAAGAGATAAGAAAAGGTATGACACAGAAAAAATGGAAACATAATTTTAGAATAAAAGGAATCATCAGAGGATACAAAGCACCTCATTCAAGACAGAAACGAAGTACTCAGTAGAAAAGTTGGAAGTTAGGTAAGTTATCCTAAAAGATAAAGAGAAACACTAAATGAAAAATAGTAAGTAAAAGATGAGCACCTTCCTTAGTTAATGTATTAAACAACTTGCTGGTATACCACGGCAAGCAGGCACCCCAGAAACCAACAGAATGGATTCAAAGAAGCCCTCATTGTAATAAAATATAGCTTGAAATATGTCACGCCTTCAGACATCTGATGATTTTCTTTTTACATATAGAACCAAAGTTCTCATTGAGTTTGCAATTTACTTTGGAAAATAGACAAGTTATCAAACTGTGTGAAGTGCTATGATAGGTGAGTAAACAGAGTGCTTTCAAGGGGTAAATTGTTTTTTTAAAAAAAGAGCTATCCTCAGCCCGAGAGTGTGGGTGGACATGGATAGAGAAATCGAGTGAAGCTTCCTGATTGGGCTGACCCCCTGTGTTAAAATCTGAAAGAATGAACAGGAGTTCGTCTGATGGAACAAAGTGGGAGAAAGCTTTTCTAGGTATCAATGTTTCCATCATGACTCCTGCACGTCTCGCTGAGTTGCAGTTGTGGATTAAGGGCATTGGATGCATTGTGGAAACATGCTGAAAAATCAGTGGGGCTCATGACAAGTTTGGACAATATAAACTGTCACATAATTGATGAAAATCGTTCATTTGATGAATTTGACCAGATCAAGCAACGTGTGACTAATGTGATGCCAGAAGTGTGCAGGAAAATAAGACATCCTCTCTGGGAAAGGGGAGGAAAATGACTTTCCATCATTTTCGGAAATATGACATGCCTTCTCAAGTCACTGAATTCTCATTATCCACCTGACAATCTTCCAGCACTAATACACCTGTTGGAATAATGTGGATGGGGACTTGTTCTAAGCACAAAAGAGACTGTCACTTTTCAGAGAGCGCTAAACAAATGGTCTGAAGCTATTAGAGAATGTTCTGCCTTTCTATATAAATACTTTCCAGAGAGATAATGCAGTTTCACAAAATGACGACACAACAGAGGGTCTTAAATGTTTTATTTACAATAATATGAGGCAAATACCGTTATTTTAGAAAGTTTCACAGAGACAGCAATATCTTAATTCTTTGCCTAAGTGTTTAAGACTTGTGAAATAATGGCATAGAAAGCTCAATCGTAAACTGGAAAATCTTTCATGATTGTTCCATCCGTTCCCTACATGTTTGCACCTAAACATTGAATTTGCAAGAATCTCAGATATGACATTTAATGAAGGACTCAAAATTGGACTAAGAAGTGGAAAAATTATGTTAATTACCATTGCTGATCAAGTCTAATTTTGAAGAGATGAATATACCTGATAAAACAAAAAGATGCAGTTTCTGATATGCAGAGAGGTTAAGAAATGTGATCAAAAATAAACAAAAGGAATTCCTATGTCAAAAATATTCAGTTTCAATACAAAGAGTGCACATAGGAAAGCATTGCAACTAGGAACAAAATGCAAAGCTATTAAAGTAACAGGTTGAAAAATAAATACAAGATATGCACCCAAACATGCCATTATCAGAAGCAACATAAGCGGTCAGATAGCTAGAAGCAAAAAGGTAAGAAAATTACATATCCATAAAATGAGATTTCAAGTGCATTTTGAAATCACAATGGAGTACCCTCAATCAATAATAATATCAAATTTTAAGAAAGGCCCCAAATGAGCAATTTTATAATTGTAGCATAAGTAATATCATTATTTCAATAGTCTTTGCCAAATCAGAACAGGTAACATTTCCTCATAGCAGAACCTAGGGCACATAAAAAAGTTTTAAAGTATATAATTTGCAACAAGATACAAATACTATGGACAGTTGAAATAATATTCCATGTTGCAAGACTTAGGAAATAGTAAAAGAACAGCACCCTCAGGATTTGAATGCTAATTTTAACCAAACAGTAAGAAAATGAAATATATAAGAATACAAACTTACAAATACTCTCCTAGCATAGCTTTCTTCTTCTTTTTCAAAAAAAAGGAACTTCTCTTAAAGGTACTCTTGGATACCTTTGAATAGCAGATTACTTAATATATTTTTTATTTATTTCTAGATATTTTATGATTGGTAGAAAGAATTGAGAATGAATTAATATTTCGAGTGTCTTTCACATGCCAGTAATTCTTTTTCTTTTTTTTTTATTATACTTTAAAGTTTTAGGGTACATGTGCAAAACGTGCAGTTTTGTTACATATATACACATGTGCCATGTTGGTGTGCTGCACCCATTAACTGGTCATTTAACATTAGGTATATCTCCTAATGCTATCCCTCCCTGCTCCCCCAACCCCACAATAGGCCCCAGTGTGTGATGTTCCCCTTCCTGTGTCCATGTGTTCTCATTGTTCAATTCCCACCTATGAATGAGAACATGTGGTGTTTGGTTTTTTGTCTTTGTGATAGTTTGCCGAGAATGATGGTTTCCAGCTTCATCCATGTCCCTACAAAGTACATGAACTCATCCTTTTTTATGGCTGTATAGTATTCCATGGTGCATATGTGCCACATTTTCTTATGTTTATTGCGGCACTATTCACAATAGCAAAGACTTGGAACCAACCCAAATGTCCAACAATGATAGACTGGATTAAGAAAATGTGGCACATATACACATGCCAGTAATTTTTATGCACATTATATTATTTATTCCATATAACATTTGAGGAGGTAATCATCATTGTCTTCACTGTGTATGTAAGAATCTGAGACACAGATTGCTTAATGAATAAA
The DNA here is from genome assembly GCF_000001405.40 of Homo sapiens. Classification (NCBI taxonomy): domain Eukaryota; kingdom Metazoa; phylum Chordata; class Mammalia; order Primates; family Hominidae; genus Homo; species Homo sapiens. The sequence goes on from NC_000011.10 coordinate 38,342,055, forward strand.
GGTCAGTGATAAAAAGGGTGCTGTAGGTTTAAAAGGCCTGTGTTTTATTTTGACTCTGCCACTTTCTAGCTGCTTAACTTTGTTCAAATTACTTAATGTTTTTCTGTGACCAAGTCTTTTTCAGAAACAATAGCACCTACCTTTTAATGTTGTTAGGGTAAATTTAGTTTCTGTAAACTACCTGGGACAATGCGAGGCAGCAGTTCTCAATAAACACTGCCTAGTTCTTAACTTTCCATAATGTTTCACATCTTGTGAATACCAAGCTGAAAGTCAAACCCAAAATCTATCTAACACTGAAGTCTGTTTTCTTTCTTTCTTGTCATGCTCCTGCCCTCTGCAGGGAAGCAAACAGGAGGTGAAGTTAGGAGGTCATCAAAGGAGCGCGAATACCAACAGAATCATAAACATTATTGTGTATTTGTGTGGTGGATGGGTAAGCCCAGAAAAGAAATAAAAATAACTGAATATCTGTGAAATTACATTCAATTCAAAATTCGTGGAATAAACCTGTTTTACTTCCTAAAATTTGAATGTGGGACAGACATTTTAGCTCAGCCCTTTAAAGATGGGTTCATTATTGTCTTTCAAAGATACACTAAACCATACCAATTTCCTGTGCCATTTCAGGTAACAGGCTGAGAAATGTGTGAGCTTCTCAGTTGTCCTTGAGTAGGCCTTGTAGATTTCCCAGTGTTCAGAATGCCAGGATTAAGGTTCCTGCCCTTATATGTCCATAGAATCTCACCGTAACTCTACTATACCCTTGCTGAATTGAAGTGTCATATAAAACTGAACTTTAGCCTAGTTTCCTTGCTGTATTTCACTGTCTACTCTGGGGGCGGGGGGAAATTCTACCCAAATTTCATTTTAGTAGGGTAAAGAGGGTGAGTATGAGGGCTGAAATCTTCATATCATGCTAAGCCTTCTCCTGAAATGTCACCTGCAGTTCCACCCAAACCGCTTAGCTTACTTAGAGTACAAAGTGAATAGGCAGGTAGTTGGCTAATTTTCCATATTCCTCCGCAATCCAGATTTTCACTCCTCTGTCTCATCTGTCATATTAAACCTCCCTAGTACAGACTTTGTACTATCTATTTGTTTATATATTTATTTTATTTTTGACAGAGTCTCACCCTGTCACCAGGCTGGAGTGCAATAGTGTGATCTCGGCTCACCGCAACCTCCACCTCCTGGGTTCAAGTGATTCTCCTGCCTAAGCCTCCTGAGTAGCTGGGATTACAGGCATGCACCACCATGCCCAGCTAATTTTTTTGTTTGTTTGTTTGTTTTTTTAGTAGAGACAGGGTTTCACCATGTTGGCCAGGCTGGTCTCGAACTCCTGACCTTGTGATCCACCCACCTCTTCCTCCCAATGTGCTGGGATTACAGGTGTGAGCCACCACGCCCGACCAACTTCATCCAATTTCTTATGTCCGTTTTGATAATCAAGTAATGGAATGTCCATATGCCAGCTGAGATCCTTTCTCTACACTCTCATCCATTTTTACTGTCTTTGTAGTGTCCTGTCCCCGTAAGATGAGTTCTAGTCATAAGATCTCAAAGTTATGACTAAATTATCTTTTTTTTTTTAGAGACCCAAGTAGAGCTTGAAGAAATACTTTTTTAAAGTATTTAATTATTTCGAGGCTGGGCGCAGTGGCTCACACCTGTAATCCCACCACTTTAGGAGGCTGAGGCAGGTGGGTCTCTTGAGGTCAGGAGTTCCAGACCAGCCTGACCAACATGGGGAAACCCTGTATCTACTTAAAATACAAAAAATTAGCTGGGGATGGTGGCGGGCACCTGTAATCTCAGCTACGTGGGAGACTGAGGCAGGAGAATAGCTTGAACCTGGGCGGCAGAGGTTGCAGTGAGCTGAGATCATGCCACTGCCCTCCAGCCTGGGTGACAGAGTGAGACTCTGTCTCAAAATAAATACATAAATAAATAATTTAGTTATTTTGAGTTCATATTTATACAAAATTGCCATTACCATTAACTACAAATGTATCCATATATATTTTAATGATAAGGGATATAAAATATCATTTTATAATTATTATGCTAGTTATTTGTTTTATGCATGGGTGTATGTATCTTTAATTTCAGCACCCTTTCCCATTATATCACTAGTATTAAAAGCTCTAATCAAAAAGCATAGGGTGCAATTTGAACAGAAAAGTTAATATTATATGTAAGCTGTATCCATGTAATCCATTTTATCAGCTGTCTCTGTGTTTCCTAATCTCTTCTGCTTCTTTTTATGACAAAATATTGTTATCACTGCAGACCTAAAAATTCACAGCAGACTGAGCAGAATCCTAGCCTGCCTCATACATTATCTAAATTATCAGTTAATGTTAAATTTTTCTGATTTTTTATAGGTAGCAGGAGGTGAAAATATGGAAGTTTTTGTTTATTTTTTCCCAGATTCCAAACTGAGGTTTTCAACATTGAGAAAACTGAAAAATAGCCATCTATTTCTAGTGTACTTGTCATCTACATAAATTGAACATAAGAGTCAATGAGAGAAAATTAATTTATGATCTATGAAATTTATCATATCATAGTCTCTGACTTTAATAAAGCCCCTGACATTTTAAAGACATTTCTCGAAAAAGGAAACTTATACAGATTTTGTTTAGAAAAAAAATGGGTACTGTTAAATGTGGTTACTAGGAGATGTAAGTTTTAATTATTGGACTCTTTTTCTTGAGTGTCATTTAAGGAGTAATACTGATAATCCCTGCCTCCAGATTAATTGTGGATATGGTCACAATAAAACCAATATTTTTCTCACATACTCTCCTGTGACAATGAGGAGTCTTATTATTTTAAACAACATTTAGAGGCACATAGTATTTTTAAGAAATACCTTGCCCTTAAAAAATAAAGTAAAAGGTACATTACATTTTCAGCTATGAATTGGAAACAAGAAAGTGTGAATGATGTTTCTAAAAATGCTGATTTACCATGCCATTGAAGGCCTCCCACATACTATTTTCTCCAGTCTATGTATCCATCTTTATCCCCCCTGCTTTCCCTGATAAAGTTCTTTCTCTTAAAATGTTCTGTTTATTAACCACTAAATACGCATCTTGCTCTTCTAACTTTTTTTACTCTTGTGTCCCGGAATGCCTTGCTCCTTCCTCATTTCCAACTCTGATACTATTAGTTAGCCTGATTTCTCTACTCTGCTCCAAAGACAACCTTTGGAAAATATCAGGGATCCTTTTGTCCTGGAGCTATGGTCATCGCTTTCCTTAACGTCCACGAGATTCTTCTCCTGAACTTTTTTAGTGCACTTTTAATGCTTTCCACAAACTGCCTCTCATAGCTTGTCATTGGAATTCATGTTATGGCTTCATAGTCTTAGAGTTTGTAGCCTCTTGCTCAATCTCATTAGATCAGAGGAAAATGAGGCCTGAAGAGGTCAACTTACCTGTTTACTTTCACATAGCTAGTTTGTGAGAAAGCTGAAAATGAAATCCTTCCATATGATTCATAGTCCATTTCTACTCTGAAAGATGCAATTTTGCTTTATCTATCTTGTGATGTCAGTTCAAATAAGTTATAATCTACCCTTTTTTCTTTCAGGTTCTCCACTGGGCCTTGCTCATTTATTGCACTTGTGCTAATTATTGATTCACTGAAATCTGTATATAGAATTTGTGTTGCAGCTATAAAGTCAACAGATATCCTAATTTTGAATATTGGTTTGGTATACTTACTGTATAACTAAGGTGACATATTCCAGGCCTACAAGGTACAAAGAAATGAGATTGCTTCACAATTCTATTTATATTTTGACCGGGTGTTCCCCTAAGACAATTGGGAGCTATAAAATAAATTGGACAATTATAGACATAATATGTTAAGTGAGTCTCTGGTTTCCTAAAACCTAGGGGATATTGTAGCACAAATTGTTCTATTTTCTAATATAAAAATATGAAATTATGAAAGGAGAATGTGTGAGCTTCTTATATTTTTGCTCAAATCTAATTGCATTACAAAATGAGCATCTAGCTATTGAAAGTAGGGTCTGCATACATATAGCCAGACGCTTTTTTCCACTTGGACTTTTCCATAATCACCTGATAATACATTATCCCTCTTTGCATGATCTGTGTCAGTAAGAAAGAACCAAACAATAAAATCTCCATATGATATATCTGTCTCTTTTTATGCTTTGAAAAATGCTACGTTTTACAACTTTAGGCGGTAAATATTATTTTAGAGATATCAATGACTCATGCATGAAATGCTCTGTGCATGTACTAGTGGGCATGTGTATGGTAAAATACTATTAACTCTCTTAAATAAAATAATTTTACTAAAGTTACTTACACATAATTTAAGTATGTCAGCTAACGTGTCATCTATTAATCAATGTAAACATCAATCAAAAATTATTATTATTATTTTTTGAGACAGAGTACTGCTCTGTCGCCCAGGCTGTGGTGCAGTGGCGCAATCTCTAGATCTCGGCTCACTGCAACCTCTGCTTCCTGGGTTCAAGCTATTCTCCTGCCTCAGCCACCTGAGTAGCTGGGATTACAGGCGCGGACACCATGCCCAGCTAATTTTTGTATTTTGAGTAGAGACAGCGTTTCGCCGTGATGGTCAGGCTGGTCCCGAACTCATGACCTCGTGATCCACCCACCTCGGCCTCTCAAAGTGCTGGGATTACAGGCTTAAGCCACCACACTCAGCCAAAAATAAAATTTTAAGTGGGATAAACAGAAAAACTTTTTTTTAATGGTCTATACTTCTCATTGTATAAACTTCTGTTAGTCAGCTAGCAAAAGGATTAAAAAATACTAAGCTTCACAAAACATATAATTATCAGGTTATTCTCTGGAATTACACAATTAATTGGGGGTACGGTGCTAGAAGTGAAAACATTTCTTTGAAAGTTTCGTAAAGCTAAGAATTTGAGAAAATGTAGGCAAATTGAGATGAACATTCATTTGACTAATATCTGTAGTCAATACCTTAGAACTTTCTACTGTGTTCTACTTGTATAATCTATGTAACTGTTTATATTTTAACAATGTTACAAGGTCAATGTGAAAAGTTTTTTTTATTTATTATAGTTTTTAAAATTGTATTTTTCTCAGGAATTTTTCAATTATATGAAATAGTTACTTAATATGACAATCTGGCACTATTTGAAAATAACTAATTTGAATAATTTATCATTGCCTACTTTCACAGAATTTCACCTTATAGGAAATATAGTGTGTGTATGTGTTTTTTGGTGTATGTGTATATATATAGTAGTTGATATATACATATTTCTGTATAATAATTGATATAGATATATAGATATATGGTGAATTCCCAATCTAGGGGAAGCTTTGGATGCAACATCTATCATAAAAGACACTGCAGTGGGATTATTTTTTTCATTAAAAACAAAAATAAGTCAGATCGATATCCAATATTTGTTTAATTATGTACATATTAGGACTGAATATGGCTGCAATTAACAAAGTATCTGATATCTGAGGAACCACAGTATGTCAATATGAAGTATTCCTTATCTAATCTTACAAAAAATTTAAAATAGAAGATTGCTTGTTCAGTCCCTCTCTGAACATTTCAACTTTGATCTAGTATTTGCTCTAGCGGCCACTGGATGTCTAGACATCACACATACTTCACTGTATGCAATGGCAGAAAGTAGTGGGAAATTCAGGGAAAAGGGGAAGAGAGTAAGTGGAGGGATGTAGAGATAGAGAATGAGAAAGTAAAAGAAAGAGCAAGAGAGATGTATTCTCTTTACATATTCTTTATTTTTTACACCCCCTCCCCACATTTTATAGATTTTCCTTCACATCTCATTGGCCATAAGTGTACAATAGACACTCTAGGTACTAGAAGCAAGCTTTGATTTTACTTGCTTTTATTTTGTGAGGTGGTGAGAAACAAAAATTTGGGGAATGCTATTGCATACAAACCAAGGGTTTCTGCCAAATATTTTCAGAAGAGAGATATCTCAAATCATGTAACAATCTTGTGAAAGCTTTGCCTATTAGATAGTTCTTTCTTGTAACATCAATGTCTATGAATTTAGATATGCCCACCTACATCATATTCAGATTATTTTTAACATGCAATAATGTTTTAAAGAAGCTTTCATAATTCAGTGTGAAAGTAAATATTTTTATCTGATTTCAAATTTTAGGTTTCATGAACTTATATTTTTCTTCTTCATTAAAACATTAAATTGACAAGTAACAACTGTATATTTATGATATATAACATGATGTTTTTATATATATGCATAATGGAATAGCCAAATCAAGTGATTTAGCATATACATCACTTCACATACTTATTATTTTGTGAGGAATACACTTGAAATCTACTCTCTTGGCTAAATTCAAGTATATGGTTTATTATTATTAACTATATTCACCATGCTGTATAATAGATTTTTAGAAATTATGCTCCATAACTAAAAGTTTGTTCTTATTGATGAACATATTTCCATTTCCCCCAATGCTTAGTCTCTGAAATCACAATTCTGCTCTCTGCTTCCATGAGTAAGACATTTTTCTATTCCACATATGTATTAGGCCATACTTGCACTGCTACAAAGAAATACCTGAAGCTGGGTAATTTTTTTTTTTTTTGAGATGGAGTTTTGCTCTTGTTGTCCAGGCTGCAGTGCAATGGCACGATCTCAGCTCACTGCAATCTCCGCCTCCCGGGTTCAAGTGATTCTCCTGCCTCAGCCTCCCAAGTAGCTGGGATTACAGGCATGCACCACCACGCCTGGCTAATTTTGTACTTTTAGTAAAGACGGGGTTTCTCCATGTTGGTCAGGCTGGCCTTGAACTCCTGACTTAAGGTGATCTGCCTGCTTGCCTTCCCAAAGTACTGGGATTACAGGCATGAGTCACCGTGCCTGGTGAGGCTGGGAAAGTTATTAAAAAAAGAAAAAAGAAGTTTAATTGTCTCACAGTTCTCTAGGCTGTACAGGGAGCATGGTGCCAGGCATCCACTTGGCTTCTGATGAGGTCTCAGGAAGCTTACAATTATAGCAAAAGGAGAAGGGGGAGCCACCACTTCACATTGGTATAGCAGGAGGGAGAGAGTAGGCTGGGAGGTGCTACACACTTTTAAACAACCAGGTATCGCAAGAACTCATTCATTATCATGAGGACCGAACGAAGAGGGAAGGTGCTAAACCATTTAGGAGAAAGCTGCCCTCATGATCCAATCACCTCCCACCAGGCCCCACCTCCAACATTGGGGATTACAATTAGATATGAGATTCAGGTGGGGACATATATCCAAACCATATCATATATGCTTTTAAACAACCAGACCTCTGGGAATTTATTTTCATTATTACAAGGACAGCATCAAGGGGATGGTGTTAAACCATTCAAGAGAAACCACCCCCATGATCATCTCCCACTAGGCTCCACCTCCAACACTAGGGATTACAATTCAACATGAAATTTGGGCAGGGACACAGAGCCAAACCATATCATTCTGCCCCTGGTCCCTCCCTTCCAGATCTCAGGTTCTTCTCACATTGCAAAATAAAATTATGACTTCCCAACCATCCCCAAAGTCATAACTCATTCCAGCATTAACTCAAAAGTTCAAAGTCCAAAGTCTTATCTGAGGTAAAGCTAGTCTCTTTCACGTAGGAGCCTGTAAAATAAAAAAATCAGTTACCTCCAGGATACAACGGGGTTATGGGCATTGGGTAAATAGTCTCATTCCAAAATGACAAAAAAGGGGGTCTACAGGTTCCTTGCAAGTCTTAATCCCAGCAAGGTGGTCATTAAATCTTAAAGCCCCCAAATAATTTCCTTTGACTGACTCCATGTTCTATATTCAAGATACACTTGTGTGAAAGGTAGGCTCCCAAGGCCTTGGGTAGCTCTGCCCTTGTGGCTTGGCCATAGTTAGCCCCTGGAGCTGTTTTTATGGGGTAGCATCGAGTGTGTGCAGCTTTTCCAGGTGCAGGGTGCAAGCTGTTGATGGATCTACTATTCCGGTATCTGAAGAATGATGGCACTCTTCTCGCAGATCCACTAGGCAGTGCCCCAGTGGGGACTCTGAGTAGGGGCTCTAACTTCACATTTTCCCTTCACTCTTCCCTAGTAGATGTTCTCCATGAGGATTCTGCCTCTGCAGCAGGCTTTACCTGAGCAACCAGGCTTTTCCATACATCCTCTGAAATCTAGGCAGAGGATCCCAAGCCTCAACTCTTTTACTCTGTGCACCTGCAGGCTTAACACCATGTAAAAGCCACCTAGGCTTATGGCTTGCACCTTTTGAAGCAGCGTTCCAAGCTGTACCTGGGCCCCTTCGAGCCACAGCTGGAGCTGCAGTATCTGGTATACAGAGAGCAATATCATTAGGCTGTGCAGGGCAAAAACCATTCAGCCTATAAAACCATTCATTCTCCCTAGCCTTCCAGGCCTGTGATAGGAGGAGCTGTTGCTAAGGTCTCTGAAATGACTTTGAGACCTTTTCCCCATTGTCTTGGTGATTAACATTTGGTTCCTTTTTACTTATGTAAATTTCTCTAGCAAGTGATTACTCAGCATCTTACTTGAATTCTTCTGAAAATGGGCTTTTCTTTTCTACCACATGAACAGGCTGCAAAATTTTCAAACTTTTCAAACTTTTATATTCTGCTTCCTTTTTAAATATAAGTTCAAACTATAGATCAATTGTTTGCTCATGCTTATGAACATAGGCTGTTAGAAGCAGCCAGGTTACTTCTTGAACCTTTTGCTGCTTAGAAATTTTTTCTGCCAAGTACCCTAAATCATTACTCTCAAATTAAAAATTCCACAGAGCCCTAAGGCAGAGACAAAATGTGCCAAGTTATTTGCTATAGCATCACAAAAGTGCCCTTTGTTCTAGTTCCCAATAAGTTTCTCAGTTCCATCTGAGACCTCAACATTCTGGCCTTCACTGTCCATAACACTGTCAGCATTTCAGTCACAAGCATTCAACCAGTCTCTAGGAAGTTTTGAAATTTCCCTCATCTTTCTGCCTTCTTCTGAGCCCTCCAAACTCTTCCAACCTCTGCCTGTTAAGAAGTACCTGAGAAGGGGTACTTTATAAAGAAAATAGGTTTAATTGGCTCACAGTTCTACAGGCTATACAGGATGCATGGCACTAGGTATCTGCTTGTCTTCTGATGAAATCTCAGGAAGCTTACAATCATGATAGAAGGCAAAGGGGGAGCCAGCACATCACATGGCAAAAGCAACAGCATAGAGGGGAGGTGCTACACAGTTTTAAAAAACCAAATCTCATGAGAACTCACTCATTATCAGGAGAAAATCATCAAGGGAATGATGCTAAACCATTCATGAGAAAACACCCCTATGATTCAATCACCTTCCACCAGGTCTCACCTTCAACATCGGGGATTACAATTGAACATGAGATTTGTATCAGGACACAGATCCTAATCACATCAACATATAAGTGAGCATTTGTCTTTCTGTCTATTCTGTACCTGGCTTATTTCACTTAGTATAACAACCTCCAGATTCAGTCATGTTGTCACAAGTGATAGACTGTCCTTTCTTGTTAAAGCACAACAGTGTTCCGTTAGGTAGATACACCATATTTTCTTTATCCATTCCTCTTTTAGTGAACCCTTAAATTGTTTCTGTGTCTTGGCTATTGCAAATAATGCTGCAATGAACATAGAGGTGCAGAAATCTCTTTCACATACTGATTTCATTTGCTTTGAATGTACATATGCTCTATGACTTATGACAAAATTTTATCTTAACACATCCATAGTAAATTGAAAAGATCACAATTTAAAAATAAATTTAATACCCTGATAAGCCAAACATAAAGTAAACAAAAATCATAAATTAAATAATTTTAAGTGGGAAGCCATCCATAGATCCAAAATTGAAATTGCTGGATTATATGGTAGTTCTACTTTCAATTACTTAAAAAGCTTCCATATTGGTTTTCATAATGGTTGTGCTGATTTGTCTTTATACCCACAGTGTACAAGTGTTCCCTTTTCTTTGCAACCTAGCAAACTCTTGTCTTCTGTCTTTTTCATAAAAGCCATCTAAACAGGTATGAGATTTCATCATATTCTGGTTTTAACTTCCATTTCTCTGATGATTAGTGATGTTGAGCATTTTTCTACAGACCTGTTGGCTATTTTTTCTCTCAACTTTTGGGAATGTCTTTTCAGTTCTATGGGATGTTTTTAAATAGAGTTAGTTGTTTTCTTGCTATTGAATTGTTTCAGTTCCTTATATTTTATGGATATTAACTCTTTATTAGTGTGTAGTCTGTAAATATTTTCTACGATTCCATATATTGTCTTTTCATTCTGGTGATTGTTTTCTTTGTGGTGCAGAGCTTTGTAGTTTTATATAATTCTATTTGGCTAATTTTGCTATTATGCTTGTGCTTTTGGAGCCACAAAAAATTTGATAAGGCAATTATCAAGAATAGTTTACTCTAGGTTTTCTTTGAGTAGTTTTATAGTTTCCATTCTTACAATTAAGTATTTTATCCATTTTGAGTTGCTTTTTATATGGTGAGAGATAAAAGTCCAATTTCATTTTTCTGTATGTGTATATCCAATTTCCCCAACACCATTTATCTAAGAGGCTTTTCTTTCCCCAGAATATGTTTTTGGCACCTTTGTCACAGATCAGTTGACCTTAGACATATGTATTTATTTATGTACCCTCTACTCTGTTCCATTCGTGGATGTTTTTATGCCAATACATTTATTGTATTGATTATTATAGCTTTGTAATATACTTTGAAATCAGGTAGTGTGATGCTTTCAGCTTTGTTATTTTTAATCAATATTGCCTTGGTGTTCAGAGTGTTTTTATCATTTCATAAACATTTTAGAATTGCTTTTTCTATTTCTGTGACAAATATTGGAATTTTGATGGGGTCTAATCTGTAGATTACTTTTAGTTGTCTGAACATTTTAATAATACATATTATTGCAACCTATTAACATAAGTGTGATAGTTAATACTGAGTTTCAACTTGATTGGAATGAAGGATGCAAAGCATTGTTTCTGGGTGTGTTTGTGAGGACGTTGCTAAAGGAGATTAACATTTGAGTCAGTGAACTGGCAGAGGCAGATCCACCCATAATCTGTGTGGGCACCATTCCCTTGGATGCCACTGTGGCTAGAAAAAGCAGGCAGAAGGTGGAATGAGCAGACTTGCTGAGTCTTCTGGCCTTTATCTTCCTCCCATACTGGATGCTTCCTGCCCTTGAACGTCAGACTCCAAGTTCAGCTTTTGGACTCTTGGACTTAACCAGTGGTTTGTGAGGGGCTCTCAAGACCTTCAGCCACAGACTGAAGGCTGCACTGTCAGTTTCCCTACCTTTGAGGTTTTGGGACTTGGACTGGCTTCCTTGCTCCTCAGCTTGCAGACAGCCTATTGTAGGACTTTACCTTGTAATCATGTGAGTCAATACGCCTTAATAAATTCCTTCTCATATATACATATATCCTATAAGTTCTGTCCCTCTAGAGAACCCTAATACAATAAGAAATATTTCAATGTATTTGTTTCTTCTTCAGTTTGATTCATCAATGTTTTAAGGATTTTAGTGTACACATTTTTCACCTTGGTTGAATTTACTTCTAAGTATTTTTATATGCTTTATGGGATTATTTTCTTGTTTCTTGACAGTTCATTGTTTATGTATAGAAATGCTACTAATCTCTGCATGCTGATTTTCTATTCTGCAACTGTACAGAATTTATTTACTGGTTCTAACAGGTTTTTAGGGAGTCCTTGGGATTTTCTCTAAATAAAGTCATGTCATTTGCAAACAGAGACAATCCACTATCAGCAGATTTTTCAGAAGAAACTTCACAGACCAGGATAGAGTGAGATGATATATTTACAATGTTAAAAAAAAAGACAAAACTGCCAACCAAGAATACTTGCCAAGTGAATCTGTCCTTCAGAAATGAAAGAGAGATAAAGAGTTTCTCAGACCAACAAGAGCTCAAGCAGTTTATTACCACTAAACTTGTCTTATCAGAAATTGTATAGGGAAGTCATTAGGCTGGCAAAAATATAATAAGTAATATTAAAACACATGGAAATATAAAAACTTACTGGTAAAAGTAAGTACTTAGTGAAATTCAGAATACTAGTACTGTAATGGCACTGTGCAAATAACATTTTTAGGATAAGTGTTAAAATACAAAACTGTTAAAATAATTATCATTAAAATGAGTTTTAAGGGATACAATACATTTAAAAAATCTATAAATTGTGGCCTCAAGAGCAGCAGAAGGGTAGAGATTTTGTATGTCATTGAGCTTAAGTGTTATCAGATTAAAATAGGCTATTACAAATATGTGATGTAAGCCTCATGCTAACCACATGTCAAAACTCTATATTAGTTACACAAAAGATAAGGAAAAAGGAATCAAAACTTATAACTATAGAAACCAATCAAATCATTAAGGAAGACAGCAAGAGAAGAAGAAAGAAACAAGGGAACTATAAAACACTCAGAAAATAACAAAATGACAATAATAAGTTCTTACCTATTAATAATTATTTGTATGCAAAAGTATTAAATACTAAAATCAAAAGACATACAGAGGCTAAAGGGATAATAAAAAGCCAGATGTGAGAATTTACACTAAGAATATACATAGACTGAAATTGAAAGCATGAATAAATATATTCCATGCAAACATTAACCAAAAGGGAACCAGGCTATCTATACTTCTATTGGAAAAAAATACATATATACTTTAAATAAAAAACTGGAAAAAGAGGCAAAGATTATTTTATAATAATAAGAGGATCAATTTATCAAGTACTTATATATACACACACTATATATAGTATATAGTATAGTATAGAGTATATGTATATACACATGCACATACACTACATATAGTTATATATTATATAGTATAGTAAATGGTATATATATTATATAGTATAGTATTATATATACATATATAGCGTGTGTGTGTGTTTATATATATACATATATATACATATGCACTTAATATTGTAGGACCTAAGTATATAAAATAAATCAATATATATGAAGGGACAGATAGCAATGCAATAATAGTAGGAAACTTTAATGTCCTACTTTTAACAATGGATAAAACATTTGGAAAGAATATCAATAAGGAAATAATGGACTGAACAATGCTGTAGACAAAGTGACTCTAACAGTCACAAACACAGCATTCCACCCAACAGCAACAGAATGCACGTTCTTCTCAAGTGCACACAGAACATGTTACAGTACAGATCTCATGATAGGCCACAAAATGAGTCTTAACAAATTTATGAAGATTGAAATCTTCATAAAAATTGATTTATGAAGATTAGAATCATGTCATTTATGTTTTCTGGATACAATAGTAAAAAAGTAAAAATCAATAACTGGAGGAACTTTGGAAAATTCACAAATACATGGCAAGTATGGCTCCTGAAAAACCAATGAGGCAAAAAAGAAATTGAAAGTAATTTTTTAAGAAAAAACTCTGAAATAAAAATAAAAATACAACCATCAGATCTGATGGAATATAGCACGAGCACAGCTAAGAGAGAAGTTTACAGCAGTATGTACCTATATGGAAAAAGAAGAAAGATCTGAAGCAAGTAACAATGTTGTATCTCAAGAAATTAAAAAAAAGGAAAGAAAGCTAATACTTAGCAGAAAGTAGAAAATAACAAAGATCAAAGGAGAAATAGAGATGAGAAAAACAATAGAAAAGATCAATGAAATTTAAAGTTTTTCCTTTATGTTAAAAAATATACAAACATTTATCAAACCTAACAAAGAAAAAAGAGAGAAGATTGAAATAAAATCAGAAATGAAAGAGGAGCCATTACAAATGATACCAGAGAAATACAAAGGACCATAAGACATTATAAAAAATTATACCCCCTAAAATTAGATAACCTGGAAGAAGTGAATAAATTCCTGAACACACACAAATTACCAAAGCTGAATCATGAAGAAACTAGAAAATCTGAATAGATAAATAATAAGTAAGAGGATTGAGTCAGCAATAAAAAACTTTTCAACAAAGAAAATGTCAGGACTGGATAGCTCCATTCCTGAATTCTACCAAACGTTCAAAGAAGAACTAACTCATATTTTTCTAAAATTTTTTCAAAATATTGAAAAGGAGGGTACACTTGAAAACTATTTTCATGTGCCCAGTGTTATCCTGATATTAAAGCTGGACTAGGACACTACAAGAAAGTGACAAATTTCAATAATACAAAATTATTCCATACAATATTAGCAAACTGAAATCCACAGCACATTAAAATTATTATTCACTAGGATTATGTGAGATTTATCCCTGGAATGCAAGGATGGTTCAACAAGTGCAAATCAATAAACACAGTATACCACGTTAACAAAATAAAGGAAAAAAAACATACATTCTTCTCAATAGATTGAGAAAAAACATTTGGCAAAAATTGACATCCTTTTATGATAAAAACTATCAATAAATTGGGTACTGAAGAAACACACTTCAACACAGTAAAGGCCATATATGACAAGCCCACGGTTAGCCTTGTATTTAATGTTGAAATGTTTACTTTTCTCTAAGATTAGGAACAAGACAAAAACCTACTCTCATCATTTCTATTTAATATAGTACTGGAAATCCTAGCTAGAATAAGTAGGTGAAAATTAATAAATAAACAAACAAATAAAAGGCATGAAAATAGAAAAGGAATAATTTAAATCATCTCTGTTTGCAGATGATATGAAGCTTATAATTTAAAATATGTGACTTAAAAATACATTTTTCTCAAATTTGACTATCAATTTTATTAAGAAAAAATAAAATTTTTTCATAATTATCAGATTAGCATATAATCAAAAATTGTCTAAGATTAAATAGCATCAATTCATACTAAATATTTAATAATTGTTAATAATTCTTAGCGATTGGCATTTCTTACTAAAATTGACGGAAATTCTTTGCTGATGACTTAAAAACAACTTAAGAATGGCTTCATTAAAACATATTAAATTGTAGTGTGTTATTTATGCAACATTATTTAAGGAAGCACATTTTACTTTGACTTGATTTATCAGTAATTCAAAGTATACCATTTAATACAACAAATATGCCTATTAAAATTGTGAGATTAACTTGTTTATTTAAAATCCTAAAGTCATTTGCCTTCTTAAAGTTAGGATTCTATAGAAATTAACATCTTTCTTGTGAACAAGTTCAAATTTTAATTCATTTATTAATTCCAACTTTCTGCTCATCCCCAAATTATTTTTTATTACTCTCTTCCACAAAACTTATTCTTACTAAACTAAGAAATATACAATTGTGTTCTGTTTTCCAGCAACAGACTATCTTCTTCCTGTCCACTCATTTTGGATACAAAATCTAAGATGATATCTCCTCATTTTGTTCAATCTAGTTGTTAGGAAATTTGGAATTATAGGTGCAAATAACCTAGCTCTTTCATGTTTAATTAAGTTTAATAAATTATTTTGAATAGTTTTAAAATCACATCAAATAAATAAAATGGGACCTAAGTCCATGACAAAAATTTTGAAAAAATCTGTAGTCTAAAACACAATGATAAAAATAAACAATAATAAGAAAATTTCTGCAAATATTTACTTTTAATAAACAATATACTTTCACTGCAATGGTTTCTGGAAAATATATTTTAACCAGAACACCCAAAAAAATCAAAGGGAATATTATTTTTTTCCATTTATCAATGATCTATTTTGATTTATTATTCTATTTTTTGAATTTGATATATCTATTTAAATTTTTACATTTAACAATAATGACTAGACTATGCAGTTACAAAAGCTGTAAATGGGCCAGGTTCAGTGACTTACACCTGTAATCCCAGCTCTGTGGGAGACCAAGGAGGTAGAGTTGCTTGAGACCAAGAGATCAAGACCACCTGGGCAACATAGATCCCATCTCTACAAAATGAAACATAAAAAAATTAGTTGTGCGTGTTGGCATGTGCCTGTAGCCCTAACTACTTGGGAGGTTGAGATGGGAGGAACCCTTGATCTCAGGGGTTCAAGGCTACAGAGAGCTGTGGTCATGCCACTGCACTCTGGCCTGGGCAAAAGACTCAGACCCTGTCTCTAAAACAAAACAAAACAAAGCAAAACAAAAACAAAAATGCATAAAGACGATATAAGTTGGATTTTTTGGTAGTTTTTATCCTATTTGCATTGGGTGAAGAGTGTTAAGGAAAATCTTTTCTTTATAATTACACAATGGTTTTGTTTTACTGTCAGCGGGAATTCTTCCTGCAAGTAAAATATTTCAATAATTGAAATGTTCGAGAAAAAAAGTCAAATGTGACTTTGAAACAATAAAAGTTTGAGTGTCTCTTTAACTGACAAGGGTGTATAAATGTCAACATGCCTTTCAGATAAATCAGTTCCAGTTCAAAGATCTTGACAATACTTTGGAAATGTAATAGAGATTCTATGAAGCTGCTACTGTGATTCTGGAGAGGCAATGTGAGAGAGGTAATGAGAGGATTGTATGTGCATAGCAAAGATATTCTAGTATGCTTCAATTTAAAAACTAAAACTTCTTTTCAGGACTCTGCTCTGGTTTTATATTGTAATAAATAGTGTCCCTGCTAGAGGTGACATTTATAGCTCCTTAGAGGTCTGCCAGTATGAAAGAATGCTATTGTTTCTTAAATGGCTGTTGTACCAACTATATTTCATTTTCCATAGTTTCTTCATTGTGGCTTTTAGATACACTTTTCTGACTGAAAAAAATCATGGAAAGAAGTCATTAAAATATATGTTGGAGAACAGTATATGTTGCTATCACAATAGTTCAAAAAATTCCCTTCCATACTTGCATCCTGATCAAATCTAGAGTGAACTCAAGCCTCAGTTAAGAAAAATATTCCAAATTGTGAAACACTAAAAATTTGATCTTGATGCAACTTTCAATGATAGCTAATAAATTACTGTTTCTGAAGTAAATTCTAAGCACTCTATAATTCAGATTAATTCTGATTACTGATGTTTAGTTTGAGGAGAAATAAAAATGCATTTACATTTGTAGCATTTTCCTCAAAAAATTTCTTTGAACTTAAAAATTCTTACTTATAAATAGGATATTGACATCTTCTCCTGTTTTCTATCATTTGTCTTGGCTTTCCCCTGAAGTAGCAAACTCAATCAGACATGTCTCTCATGATCTCTTGCACTAGCCCTTGATGTGTGTCCAGTCCCAGATAATAATACTACAGAAATAGATTGCTAAATAAATAGTAATAAAAGTTTCTGGGTAGAGGCAAGGCAAAGAGTTTGTTCTATCAATATATATCCAATGCATAATATTTTTGTTATTTTAAAGCAAAGATCAAGTTCTTCAATAGAAATAATTTCTTGGATGGCTTTCACACATTATTCTTGATTTTAACTGTACTAAATATGATTCTTTACTGGATTCCTTAACTTGACATTTCTCCAAACAAAAGTTTTCTGAAATATAGACTTGAAGACTATAATGTACAGTGGGAGAGGAATATTCTTAACACCTTTCCCAGATATAGGCTAAGCATTTCACCTCCTAGCAACATAATACTTTCAAGAAATTATGTTATCACACCAGTCTTTTAAAACTTATGGGATGACATTTTTGACAAAAAAGAGTAAGTCTCTTTTATTTAAGATGTTTTATTCATCATATAAATTATGTTATTTACCATTTAATTGCATGGCAAGAGATGAAGTTTATTTCCAAACAAATTTGATATATGCAATAATGACATTTTATTTACTTTAGATTACTTTAGCAAATTCTGAAATTGCTCATACTATGAGCTTTTAAAAATGGCATTCAATATTATGTATTAAGATAATCTATCTTAATAAAAATATTTTTATCAAATTATTTCTACCTCTATATAGGCAAGATATAAAACTTTTTATTTTCAAATTTCTGTATATTCTTAAAATATACATTCCAAAATAACAGCAAATAATATTTTTCTGTAAGTTTCTTACTTTTAAGAAACTATAATAGTCCATGAGCAACAGAAATTAATTCAGTGCTTTTTGCTGGAGCTGCCAATATTTGTACCTTCCCCTTCTCTTATGATGACTTTCTTGGCAGAAAAAAAAAAAAGAAAAAGTACTGTTAAGTAAGACCCAGGAGTCAGAAAGGAAAAACTTGGTCTTCAAAATAAAAATCAGAAGTGGCAGATATAATAACCCTTATGTACATGACATGCATAATAAAATTTGGCTGACAGACTCCAGCAGTGATTCCTTTTATTCCATAAAACCTTTTAACCACTGTTACCAACTGAATTTTGTTTCACCAAAATTCATATGTTAAAGTTCCTAATACTTGATATAAGTGGATTTGGAGAATGGATCTTTAAAGAGGTAATTAAGGTTAAATGAAGTCATAGTAATGGAGCCCTAATTGGATAAGATTGGTGTCCTTACAAAGAAAAGGAAGAGACAAAAAGGATTTGGGATGTGCGACACGGAGTAAAGACTGTGTGAAAGGGCATGAGAAGGTGGCTACCTGCAAGCCAAGCTGAGGCTTCAGGGGAAACCAATCCTGCTGGCACCTTGATCCTGAAATTCCAGCCTCTAGAACTATGAGAAAATACATTTCTATTAATTTTGCTAGACATTCTGTGGTATTTTTTTATGACAGCCCAAGCAAACTAATGCAATCAAAACTGATAAATCCAGTGAGAGGGAGGGAGGGAAACCTTAACAATGGGACAGTTGAAATAACTAATAATTTAAAAAATTGTGTAAGTAAATGGGAAGGACAGGAGGGGGTTGTTTGTTAACTTTCTATACTACTATATTATATTGGAATAATTTCAAATTGAAATTATAAATTTGCTGAAATTAATTTGTTAGCTCTAGCAAAGAAGTGATCAATATAATATATGATTTTGTTGATGTTGAAAATAAAAAATTTAAAGAGTGCTAAAAATTGAGAAAAAAAAATCAGAATCAGAAAGGGCAGATACATTAACCAACAACTCAAGGCTAACTTGTTAACAATATTACAGAGAAGAGTGATTGATAATAAGCATTAAAACCACACACTAGTTGGCCATTTATTATAATTTACTATGCTTTTCACTACATATTTTAATAGAAAATAGATGAATGATTCTGTTTAATCTTAGGACTATAATTTTCATGGCTATAGTTTGAGTGCCTTTTTATTAACATGTGGGCACAATGAAGATGAAATCCAAGTCTGTGAGAAAAATAGTGAGTCTGATTCTGGGATGGCATTCATGCATTCAAATGTCTACTGCTCTTCATGTTAGGTAAAAGAAAAACAGTCCTGTTATTGTGTTTATGTCACTGTGATGGTTGATATTCAGTGTCAACTTGATTGTGTTGAAGGATGAAAAGTATTGTTTCTGGGTGTATCTGGGTGTTTCTGGGTGCTGCCAGAAGAGATTAACATTTAAGTCAGTGGACTAAAACAGGAAGACCTACCCTCAGGAAGACCCACACACATTATGGGTGGGCACCATCCAGTTGGCTTCCAGCTAGCTAGAAAAATCAGGCAGAAGGTGAAAGAAGCCGACTCACTGAGTCTTCCAGCCTTCATCTTTCTCCCATGCTGAGTGCTTCCTACCCTCGAACATCAGACTCCAAATTCTTGAGTTTTTGGACTCTTATACTTAACACCAGTGGTTTGCCAGGGGCTCTCAGGCCTTTGGCCACAGACTGAAAGTTGCATTGTCAGCTTCCCGACTTTTGAGGTTTGGGGACTCAAACTGGCTTCCTTGGTTCTCAGCTTGCCCACAGTTTATAGTGGGACTTCACCTTGTGATCATGTGAGTCAATACTCGATAAACTCCCTTTCACATATACATCTATCCTATTAGTTCTGTCCCTCCGCAGAGCCCTGACTAATACAGTCACTGTAACTTAGAATGTTTATATTATTAGATGAACACTATTCCTAACTCATATACCCTCTAGCGCTCCTGAAGGCAAGCTTCTTTTTCTTTAACATGTCACATATTATAGATCCAGGAGGTAGAACTGGTGCACCCTTTCAACCATATTGCCAATTCTAGACCATTACTATCATTCTATGCAGCTCATGTGAGAATCACAGCATCTAGATACATCTTCTTCTTCTTGGTGAATTTTACACACCTCCTGGTCACAGTGCCTTTTTCATTCATAACTATTTGTTCTACTAACATTCTTTATTTTCTCCCACCTGTCACAAAGATGAAACACTAACAGTCTAATCTCTAAGTTATATAATGTGCTCATTTTCATTGACTTTTATCTGTAATATTTAAGTTGTGGTAAAATATACATAACATAAATTTTACCACCTTTACAATTTTAAGAGTACAGGTCAGCGTCATGAAATATATTCACAAAATTGTGCAACCATCACCACCATTCATCTCCATTACTTTTTTATATTCCCAAACTGAAACATTGTTCCCATTAAGCACTACATCTCCATATCCCCCCTTCCAACTCCCTAGCAACCATTATTCCATTTTCTATCTCTATAAATCTGACTACATTGAATACCTTATATAAGTGGGATCATACAGCATTTGTCCTCTTATAACTGTCTGATTTTACTTAGTATAATGTTGCTTAGGTTCATTCATGTCGTAGCATGTGTCAGAATTTCTTTTGTTTTTAAAACTGGATAAAATCTCATTGTATGTGGATATCATATCTTGTTTATCCATTCATGTATTTGTAGACACTTGAGTTGCTTCCACTTTTTGGCTATTGTGAATAATGCTACAATGGTCATGGGTGTCAGTATTAGAAATCTACTGCCTTAAACCTCAATCTCATTTTGTTATCATTGGACCACTTCTAATAACTTGATTTAAAAATTTATTTTAAGACATGGGTTTCTATTATTTCAGTTCTTGTCTTAAAGTTCTACAATTCCAAACTCACTGAGATCTTTATAACTATATACTATGTCTCAGATAGTTCCTCTGTGAACCTGTCTTTTTTTTTCTTATGGTGCTTCACCATTCATCAAAGCCCTTCCTCTTAGTTTATGTGCCTAGCAAACCTAAAAGTTGCCCAACTGTTCCTTAACATTTCTTCTTGAAATAAAATCTTAAAATAGGATCATATGCTACATGCCACATGTGTCTAGAGCTCAACTCAATAAGTACTTGTTGAGTAAATGAATTGGTAAGCTTTGAATAAAGTCACTAAGGTGGTGTACACAGCTTAGGGATTCAAAATTCTCTCTATAAGGTAAAAAATAAAACTCATTGCTATTCTTTGAGAAAATAGTATTCAAATGATGATAAAAAGTATTTGCCATGGCAAATCTCTATGTGCTACCCATCAAAAGAGAAGCACATATTAAGAAAAATAAAAAGGCTACCTAATTCTCAAAATAATAGAAGTTTTTATTATTTTGTTTAGTTTTTGCATATTTCTTGGAGAGAAAGGATTTAAAAAGAAAAAAATAGATAGCAAGTCACACATTCAATACTAAGATTTTTGTATGCTACTTGACTTATTTTTCTTTCTCTTTAAACACAATGAACTATAAATGTATTCTCTGCAAGTCTTGTTTTAGAGACAGAGGAATTCCATCAAGTTTAGGTTCAGGAGGATCATCCTACAAAAATAACAGAAGTTGAATTTGAACAACAACAACAAAAAAAAAACCAGAAAGAAGATTATCTGGAGAGTGCTAAACAAAAAGGCAAGTGAATCAATGAAGTCTCTGACCAAGTCATCTAGAAGCAGATTCAATTTATGTGTCACCAATAAAATAAAATTTTCCATTGTTGTTAATAGTGGTTTCTGAACTCTGTAGCTTCTTATGGCAACACCAAGTAGATCAGAAAGACAACAGGAGTCTTCACTAACAGCCAATTTCTACAAAATTCAAATATAGAGTCATACCATCTAAATAAACACAGTAAATATTTATCATAAACCTTTAAAGGTAAAAGTGCAGGAATATATCTTCCACATTCAATCAATTGAAAGTGACCTTTGTTTTTTTTTTCCAAAATGTTATTTTTTACTAATTTCCTTTAATTTAGTGCCAATTCCAAACCAATTTATTACTGCTTATCTGAACTATTATAAGATTTTTCAAGCATTTCATATCTCTAAAATCACTCTTTTGCAATTTAAGTAGGAAAATAGTTGGAGAATAATTTTAAAAAAATAATTATCTAATCATGGCATTACTATATTCAAAGCGCTTACAGGGCTCTATTATTTTTATTTAGCATTGTGTTAACAAGTTGTTGTTGTTGTTGTTGTTTTTATTTTTATTTTTTTCTTTTTGAGACAGATTCTCGCTCTTGTAGCCCAGGCTGAAGTGTAACGGCTCAGTCTCGTCTCACTGTAACCTCCCTCTCTTGGGTTCAAGCAATTCTCCTACCTTAGCCTCCCGAGTAGCTGGGATTACAGTGACCACCACAACACCTGGCTAATTTTTTGTATATTTAGTAGAGACGGGGTTTCACCATGTTGGCCAGGGGGGTCTTGAACTCCTGACCTCAGGTGATCCGTCTGCCTCGGCCTCCCAAAGTCCTGGGATTACAGGCATGAGCCACTGTCCCTGGCTGTTCTAGCAAGTATTTTTAAGGTGTACTAAATGCTAAGCACTGTGCTAGGTGTGCAAAAATAACTGTGGAAAAAAAAACAGAGCTAAGAATACTTGGAATTTTATTTCACGGTATAATTTTTTATATCCCAATTTTCTCATAAGTACCCTCTACTCAACCTCTACTCGGTGATTATTATCCCATGACTGCATCTAGAACAGAGGTTGGTAAACTTTTCCTGTAAAGGGCTGGTTATTACATGTTTACGCTCTGTGGGCCATTAATTATAGATCACAACTATCCAACTTGTCATTGTAGTATGAACACAGCCATACACAATACATAAATAAATAGACGTGGCTGTGTTCCAAAGAAAATGTATTTGCAAAAATTGGTAGAGAGGTGAATTTGGTCCCTGGGGCCATAGTTTGTTGACCTATGGTCTAATTTATTCTATAATATCAGCCTCATTAGTCAACATTTTTGAGTTCCAAATGAAGTGTTATGGCTCTATGAACATGGTAAAACCACACTTCACACTCTTAGCAATGTAGAGTAACATGACTCTTATATTTCCCATTAAAAAGGCCACATGTTTACATCCTAGTTCTAATATATATTAATATGGCATGAACTCATTACTCTTTATCACTGGACCTCAATTTCCTCACATGTAACAGAAACATAACAATACCTATTTTGACATTTATGTGATGACACAAAGGTTTAATTGTGTAAGTTACCTAAACCTGTTAAGGCTAATTGCACAACTGCCCAGATCTGCTGAAGAGCGCTTTCCTGATCTGGTTCTTATTAAAGCTGACAGACTTCTTGGTAACTTGGCAAATGGATAGAGCACAATTAACATTGTGAAATACGCTACTTCTGAAACCCAGATGGGCCTACTAGAAGTGGTGCTTCCTTCTTAGTGATGAGAGACGCAAAATGCAATAATGTGTATGTTACTTTAATGGACTATTTTAGCATGCCTCACACCACTGGAAATCTAAAATCTCACTGAGGTAAACACAGAAACTATGCTGTGTTTACCCACACTTTCTGAGCTCATACAGTCTGAATAACATGAGATTATTGGCCAAGGGGGTCAATGTACTATTTCATGGAATATCCAGACAACCCAAGCTCTGCCTGGCTAGCTCTTGCAACGTTTTCATATGCAACGTCCTTCCTTCCTTTAGCAGGCCCAGTACTTTGTCTGCTGAGTTACAATATGACTTGGCTCTAGTTTAAATCTGTTGGACCAGAGAGGAGTCAGAGCCAGATCCTGAATGAAACCTGTGTTGTTCTGTGAGAGATAAGCCTTTGCTTCATCTGAAAGCAAGAGGTACATCTTTGCTTTAATAGGGAGGAGTGAGAAACTTCTGTAATCTCAGAAGGTTTGAGCAAAACTGAGATTTTACCATTTTCAAGTGCATCAATCCATACGCTTCATCTTAAACCTTAGGTATCCACCCTTTCTCAATCGGAGTCCTCATCTTGGTATACCAGAACTGCCAGAATTAACAATTCAACATTTCTTGGAGATCTCTAGTCTTATAATTAAGGTTTGGTCCAGATTCTCAGTCTCTTTCTGTCCCTGGTTTTTTATATGCTACTAAGAAGTCCTCTGGCATTCTCAATCTGCTTTATATTAATCACCCTTATACTTTTTTTTTCTTTTCTCCTGTCATCATCACTGGCCCTTAGAAACAGCTATGCAATTCAATAGACTTCATTGTTATTACTACCAAACTTATCTTGAGATACTGCACTTACCAGTGCATTCTTTAGCACAGGTATTAATCCTAGCTCATTACCATGGAAAGTTTTAGCAAATGCTCTTAAATCATGTATCAAGATCTTTTAGCTCTTCACCTACTGCAGGTGATGAAGTCTTCGTTGCCAACTAGAAGGTAAGTAATCCAGGTTTAAGTCGACTTCCTAGGACATCTGGTAATGCAGTAGTTGATTAGTTTCCATAGAAAACAGACTCTGAAACTCTTGAATTTATATTCGCGACTTTTATTGGGGATTGATTTGGAAACAGTATCTGTGAGCAGCAAAAGAAATAATATTGGGAAGAAAGATAAATTGAACTGGGGTACAATTGGAACAGATGCCTCACCAGTCTTAAAGGGAGCAGAATACTCCAACTGAGGCAAAAATAAGCCTGGTCTTTAACTTACATAAAACAGTCATTAGACAAGGGCTGACTCCAGGGACTGCACACAATCTTAGTTGAGGTGGTTTCCTCCACTGAAGGAAAATTCCTGAAAAGGGCTTCAGGAATGAGCAAATTGACTACCATCAACTGGGGAATGAGTGCTTTAGTCTTGGAGGGATATCTACCGTACTCAATTCAGTGCTAAATACATCTTAGCTAAATCTAAAACGTTTTGTGTGCTGAATTCAGTATACTTTACTGACAACCACCTTGTTTCTAAGGCTCTATTAAAAATGAATGCCCTTTTATGTTGATAATTATTTTTGATGGAATTAGAGAAGATACTCTAGTAAATACAGACATTTTAATCTCCTATAAAAGCTAACCTGTGGTTAATATGCCATTTGTAAAAAAACAAAACAAACAAAACACACGTTTTTGCAGAGAAAATGGTAGGTTTCTACAATTACTTTGGAGAGCAGTGACAGCTCCACCTTTACATAACAGGTTGTGAAGGATCAAGGGAGCATTACCTGAACCTGAGATTCACCTAGCTGTGGATTTTTAGTCAGGCATTTTCTAGTATTATCTAGAGATTCTTTAGGCATTTAATCCTGGAATTTTCAAAGTTACTTGTAAATGATTAAAAGGGAAATGCCAATTCACAACTCTCCTGGAACATAAAATGGGTAGTTTGCACTATTAAGGTATCTTCCTTGAAATCCCTTGCTTTCTTGAACATTCTGCTTACTAAACCGTGGCAAGTTACTTTTCTCCCTAATTGATGCTTGTACTCATGAAGTGTATCATCATCATTAACAAGATCAATTAAGTACCTACATGAGCATGGCCTTCCTCCTGGGTCCTGGTTAATTTGCACAAGATCTTCTTGTGCCTTTCTGTTAGGAATTCAGCTCTATTAACAGTACCACTCTTCTGAGAATATTCCATTTGCAAAGTTAAACTTTCAGTTGATGAGAAGAAACTTAAGGAAGCAAATAATTATTATGTAGATTGAAGATGTCATTAAAGGAGCACATTTAATCAAGGCACTGTTTGCCCTTCATGGGTAAAAAAAAAATAAAGCCATTGTAAACACTAATGTATTCAATAATGTTAACTTGGTAATGTGGAGGTTAGTTTTTGTTCCATTTAGATAAACTCTTCTCAGTGACACCTTTGGCTCTGATCATGTAACTTCTGGGACTAAGAGTGAAAGCAGTTTTACCCAGCATGGGGATAACTTTGTTTTAAGGCCTTAGACTTAAGAAAGGAATGCATATGGAGAGGAGCCTTATTTCAGTTGAGTAAAATCCAAGCGATTGAAATGACCCAAGAAGCACAATCTGAGGCTTTGGATTGTAACACAAGATTTTTGATTCTCACTACCAATCTTCACAATATTTATGAAGTAGGATAGTCTTAATAAATGGCAGTGGTTGTCTCTGAGTTACAGAAATAATTACCTTCTCTCTAGAGGTATAGTATGATATCAATATTTGAGAAGTTTATAGGGTATATCCAATGATTTTATGTATATTAATAAAATTTCTAGTGTATTTGACATAGCAGACAACAGTTAAAATCTTTAATAATCAAAAATATGAATATATTTATATTAATTACTCTAAATTGATATACTATATAATAAACATAACATTTTATGTAATACTTAGAATATTAAATCCTATATTAGTCATACCACTGCAGTGAGCTATCTAAAATAATTAAAGTATTAATAAAAATAGTTATGGCAATTGAATGCTTATTGAATCATCACTATGTGGTAGACACATTTGTAAGTGCTTAACATGTGTAAACCACTTAATCTTTATTACCTTGAGAAGGGCAATATTCAGCTATTCATATTACATGAAGGAACTAAGTCAATGAGAGTTCAAGTTACTTGCTCTAAATCTCATTTCAAGGAAGAATCCTGGGCTTGAACCCTACCAGCTGATCCCAGAGCCTATGTAAAATAATTTAGTTAAAATATAATAATTAAACATACAAATACATTTTCAGACACTTTAGAAATGATCATGAGATGAGCTTATTGGATA
Source organism: Homo sapiens (assembly GCF_000001405.40). Taxonomy (NCBI): domain Eukaryota; kingdom Metazoa; phylum Chordata; class Mammalia; order Primates; family Hominidae; genus Homo; species Homo sapiens. The sequence goes on from NC_000011.10 coordinate 38,368,893, forward strand.
ACTTGAAAACCCGAAGGAAACATTGGAGAGATTCCGTTTTCGTTCTCTCATGCACATTCACTCCTCTGGGATCTCTTTGAGATCAAAAGTAAGGGACCCCTGAAAAAGAATTCATAAGAGTGGAGGAAAGCAACAGCCTGAGAAGACGACATGATTTTCTTGTCTTTTTTTTTAGTGTTGTAGGTTAGGAGTATGGAACGTGTAACTGGCAGAGCATAATAAGTGGAATATGCTCTGGGTCAAGCTCTTGTGTGTTGCGAACTGTCTAGAGACCAATGGTCAAATCCATGATATTAATTAAACATGATTACCAGCCTTCATTTTGTATAGATCTTATAGTTTTCAATAACTCAACACTTTCTTCTTTGGTGATCAAAATAATTTGAATATTATTATAATAGTTAAAAAGTAAACATGTGAATACTCTTACTCAGATGTTATTAAGCATATATATATATATACCTACATAGGATTGTTTTTTCCTCACTCTAAATATCACAATAAGAACTAGTTATATAGACCATAACTATCCAATACAATTTTCTTCAATAATCTCTGCTGTTCAATACAGTTACAATTAGACTCATATGGCTACTGAACATTAAAACTAAAATGTTGCTAGTTTGACTAAGAAACTCAATTTTAAATTTATTTTAGTTAATTAAAATTAAAATTAAATTAAATGTTAAAATTAAATACAGGAGGGCAGTGACTACTTATTGAAGAGCACACATATAGAATTTATTTTTTCTAAGACAGTACTATTAGAGCACGTTTAAAAACAAGATATAATTTTCTACAATTGTAAGTCATATGAACCCAGCATGAACCCAGCAATCTCACTTCAATGTATTTACCCAAGAAAAATAAAAGCCTTTCTTTACAAAAAGACTAATTCACAAATGCTTTTAGCAGCCTTTATGCAAAACAGCCCCAAACTAAAAACAATCCAAATATATATCAACAGATAAATGGATTAACACATTATATTATTTGTATAATAGAATACTCAATGGTAAAAAGAAACAATCTGCTAATACAGAAATACAGTATAGACTAATCTCAGAATGAATCTTACAGAAAGTTTACACATGTATGTGAAATTGTAGAAAAGAAAACTCACTAACCTTTAGTGACAGAAATTAGATCAGTTGGTTTCATGAGGTCTGGGAGTGAGGTGGATTTGGATTCACTGAAGGAAACATGAGGGAAGTTTTTGAGGTTCTGAAAATGTACTATATCTTGATTTTAACTTTATATGTTTGTTAAAATAATAAATCTTTATATTTAAAATGTGTAGATGTAAGTGTATATAGATATTTTAATAAAATTGATTAAAATCAATAAGAATATAAAAGACAGATCAAAATATCAATCAACTTGACATAATTGAAATGTGGAAAACACTTCCAACAACAGAAAGAGAGTGCATTGTTTTATTCAAGAGCATATCGAACAGTTGCCAAAATACATTATAGTTATGAAATAAGCCTCCTTAAATTTCAGTCATACAGAATATGTTCTCTGACCAAAGCAACAATAAGGAAGGAATGAACATCAGCAAGATAGTCCAAATTATTTCAAAATTAGTAACACATCTAAATTTCCCATAGGACAAATAACGTCTCTACATTAATGTGTAATTGTTCTGAATAAAAAAATAAAGAACACCAAATATAATAATTTGTAATGTGAAGCTAAAATATGCTCATAAGGTAACTATAAGATTAAAATGCTTACATTTAAAAGAAGACGGGTTTAAAGTCAATGATCTGGGCTTCTACCTTAGAAAACTAGAAAAGAGGAGCAAAATAAAACCAAGTTCAAAAACAAAAAGAAATAATAAATATAATGGAATAAATAAAGTACTTTTGCCATAGAAATAAACATTAGTCTACTAATACCATTTATATGACAACAAATTGGATGAACTATAGAAATAGATTCATAGAAACGTACAACTTACCAGGACTGACTCATGAAGAAATAGAATATCTGAACAGACAAATAAGAGTAAGACAATTCCATCATTAACCAAATGCATCCTAACAAAAAAAAATTCCAGGACTTGACTGGTCTCACTGGTGAATTCTACCAACCATTTAAACAATAATTTGTGTCCACCCTTCACAAGAGATTCCAAAAAAATGAAGAATAGGCAAGACTACTAAACTCATTTTTTGTGCCGTGGCTTAAGATGGTATCATCACTTAAGATGATACCAAACCATGCTAAAGACACTACAAGCAGCAAAATTACAAACCAATAACCATTATGGCTCAGATATAAATATCCTTAAAAGACACTAGCAAACTGAATTCAAAGCATATTAATAGGTTCATTCACCATGACCATGTGAGATTTTTTTCCTGGAATGCGGAGTTCAAAATATGCAAATCAAAAAATGTGATACACTACATTAGTGGAATGTAAAATAAAAACCATAGGATCATCTCAATAGGTCCAGAAAAGGCATTTCACAAAACTCAACATGTTCACAATAAAAACTCTCAACAAATTAGGTATAGAAAGAATGTACCTCAACATAATACAAGTCAAAGATGATAAGCTCAAAGTTAACGACATACTCAACGGTGACAAGCTGAAAGCTATTCCTCTAAGTTCGGGAATGAGACAAGGATGTCCATTCTCACTACTTCTATTCAGTGTAGTACTGGAGGTCCTACCAGAACAATTAGGTGAAGAGTAAATAAATAAAAGACTCTATTCAGAACGGAGGAAATGAAACTATTTTTGTATGCAGATGATATCATCTTACATGTAGAAAAACCTGAAGACTACATCAAAAACATTTTAGTACTAGTATAAAATTCAGTAAAGTTGGAGGATATGAAATAAACACACGACTAGCTGTGCTTTCATATACTAACAGCAAATTATCAAAAATGAAAATAAAAAAAACAATTCCAATTACAATAACATCGAAAAGGATAAAATGCTTAGGAATAAATACAACAAAGAAGATTAAACACCTGCACACTGAAAACTACAAAACACATTTGAAATAAGTTAAAGACACAAAGAAATGGAAACATTATTTGTTTACACATTACAAGAAATAATATTCTTAAAATGTTCATAATACCAAAGCAATCTACAAATCAGTGCTATCTTGCAAAACTCCTGTGGCATTTTTCACAGAAACAGATGAGAACAATCCTGTAATTCATGTGGGACCAAAAAAAAAGTCCAAAATAAACAAAATTACCTTGAGAAATATAAAAACAAACCTAGAAGTATGACATTTTTGAAGTTAACCTATGTAACAAAGCTATAGGAATTAAGGCAGTATGATACTAGCATAAAAACAGTAGACAAATTGAACAGAATGGAGAGTCCAGAAATAAACCGACCCATATACAGTCAACTGATCTTCAACAAGAATGTCAACAATACACTATGGGGAAATTATGATCTCTTCATGAACTAGTATTGAGAAAACTGGGTATCCACAGGCAACAAAATGAAATTGGACATCTATATTACACCATGCACAAAATCAATCAAAGTGGATTAAAGATTTAAATGTAAATCCTAAAACTGCAAAACTAGTAGAAAAAATCATGTGGAAAAACCTTCTTGACATTGGTCTTGGCAATTTCTTTTTTATATGATACCAAACACAGGCAACAAAAGCAAAAATAGATAAGTGGGACTGTATAAAACACACACAAAAACCTCTTTATAGCAAACGAGATAACACCATGAAGAAGTAACATACAGAATCGGAGAAAAATATTTGCAAATCACATATCTGAAAAGTGGTTAATATTCAATATGTATAAGAAACGATTACGACTCAACAGAAAATAAAAGCTTCAAAAATGGGCAAAGTACCTCAATAGACTTTACTTCAAAGAAGACATATAAATGGCCACTAGACATAAGAAAAGATACTCAACACCAATAATCATGAGGGAAATTCAGATAAAACTTACAATGAGATATTAACTCGTATCGATTATGGCAGCTATTATTAAAACACACATATGGCTGGGCGCAGTGGCTCACGCCTGTAATCCCAGCACTTTGGGAGGCCGAGGCGGGCCGATCACAAAGTCAGGATATCGAGACCATCCTGGCTAAAACGGTGAAACCCCGTATCTACTAAAAAAAAATACAAAAAAATTAGCATGGAGCAGGGGCAGGCGCCTGTAGTCCCAGCTACTGGGGAGGCTGTGGCTGGAGAATGGCGTGAAACTGGGAGGCGGAGCTTGCAGTGAGAGGAAATAGTGCCACTGCACTCCAGCCTGGGCGACAGAGCGAGACTCCGTCTCAAAACAAAAACAAAAACAAAACAAAACAAAAAAGCACATATATACACAAAAGTAAGTGTCAGCAATGATGTGGAGAAATTGGAATATTTGTACACTGTTGGTGGGAATGAAAAATAGTGATGCCACTATAGAGAATGGCAAAGGAGATTCCTCAAAAAATCAAAACTACAACTGTTAATGGATCCCACAATCCCACTTCTGGGTATATTTACAAAATATACCAAATAATTGAAATCAGGATCTTGAAGAGATGTTTCCCCTCTTACGTTCATTGCGACATTTTTAAAAATAGCCAAGATATGGAAACGGTCCATAGACAGAAAACTGGATAAAGAAAACATGGCAAATACATAAAATGGAGGACTATTCCACTTTAAAAAGTAACAAATTCTACCATCTGTGACAACATGGATAAATCTTGAGATTATGTTTAATGAACTAAGCCAGCAACAGTGGGATGAATACTGCGTGATTCTTCTTATATGAGGTATCTAAAATAGTAAAACTTGTAGAAGCAAAGAATGGAATGGTGGTTGCTCGGGTCCGGGAACAGAAGAAAATGGAGAGCAAAATTTTACTCAATGAGTATATGCAAGATGAATAAATTCTTTTAGAAGTGTGCTGTACAACATAGTTAGCAATACATAATTGTGGACTTCAGAATTTGTTAAGAAGTTCACCCAACTGTAGTTTAACCCAGCTATAGGCTAATGTGTTTTGAACATATGTAAGGTAGGCTATGATAAAATACCATGTTCAGTAAGTTAGGTGTATTAAATGCATTTTCAACTTACTGTATTTTAAATTATGATGGGTTTATTGGGACATAACCCCATAGATAATTAGAAAAACTACTGTATATTAAATGTACAGTTTTTAAATATCAATTGTACCTCAACAAAACTGTTAAAGATGCTATACTTAGAAATATATTCAACACAGAGGATAATAGACATTTTCATCTTCACTAAAACTGTAGATTATATTATAGGAAGATTAAATGATATTTTAATAAGTAGAGTGAGAAATCATGTCCATGCACACAAACTCAATATCTTATCTTTATTTATGTTTTATTCTAGATTCTGGGGTACACATGCAGGTGTTACAAGGATATATTGCATAATGGTGAGATTTGGACTTCTAGTGAACCCATCACCCAAATAGTGAACATTGTACCCAAGAGGTAATTTTTAGACACTCATTCCCTCCCACTCTCCCTTTTTGGAATCCCCAGTGTCTATTATTTCCATTCATATGTCTATATGTACCCATTATTTGGTTCCCACTTATAAGTGAGAATATGTGGTATTTGATTTTCTGGTTCTGAGTTGTTTCACTTAAGATAATAACCTCCAGCTCCATCCATGTTTCTTCAACAGACATGATTTCATTCTTTTTTAATGACTGCATAGTAATCCATGATGTATATATCCCATTTTCTTTATCCAATCCACCAATGATGGACACTTAGGTTAGGTTGATCCCATAACTTTACCATGGTGAATAGCACTGAAATAAAAATACATGTGAGGGTATCTTTGTGACATAACAATTTATTTTCCTTTGGGTAAGTAATCAGTAGTGGTATTGCTGGGTCAAATGTTAGTTCTATTTTTATTTCTTTGAGAAATTTCCAAATTGCTTCCCACAGTGGCTAAAAAGTTTTGTATTCCCACTAACAGTGTATAATCATTCTCTTTTCTTCATGGCCTTGCCAACATCTGTTATTTTTCAACTTCTTAATAACAGCCATTCTGACAGGTATGAGATGGTATCACGTTGATACCAGAAGACAATAGACATCTTCACATAATTTGCATTTTAATTTGCATTTCTCTGATGATTATTGATGGTGAGCATCTTTTCATATGTTTGTTGGTGGCTTTCATATGTTTGTTGGAATCTCCATCCATGTTGCTTCAAAGGATATGATTTCATTCTTTTTTAATTGACCGCATGGTGTATATATATTAAATTTTCTTTATCCAATCCACCAGTGATGGACACTTAGGTTGATTCCATGACTTGATTGATTCCAATCAGCCAGGTCATGGTCGATTCCATGACAACATGGATGGAGCTTCCAAAAAGAAGACATACAATGTTATGTTTTTTTCTTGTTGATTTCAGTTCTGTACAGGTTCTCGCTATTCGTCCTCTATCAGATGCAGAGTCTGCAAATATATTCTCCCATTCTGTAGGATGCTTGTTTGCTGATTTTTTAATTTAATTTTATTTTCTGTGCAGAAGCTCTTTCATTTAATCCTTTGTCTATTTTTGTTTTTGATGCATTTGCTTTTCAGGTCACGGTCATAAATTCTTTGTTTAGGCCAATATCCAGAAGAGTTTTTCCTAGGCTTTCTTCTAGGATTTTTATAGTTTCAGGTCTTACATTTAAGTCTTTACTCCATCTTGAGTTAATATTTGTATATGGTAAGAGATAAAGGTCCATTTTCATTCTTATGCATATGGATAGCCAAATTTCCCAGTGCCATTTAATAAGGTATCCTTTTCTCATTGTTTATTTTTGTCAACTTTGTTTAATGTCAGTTGGTTATAGGTATGCAGTGTTTTTTTCTAGGATTTCTATTCTGTTCCATTTCATCTATGTGTCTATTTTTGTGCCAGAACCATGCTGTTTTGGTTACTGTGGCCTTGTAGTATAGTTTGAAGTCAGGTAATATGATGCTTCCAGCTCAGTTCTTTCTGCTTAGGATTGCTTTGTCTGTTTGGGCTCTTTTTTGTTTCATATGCTGGCTTTTTCTAATTTTGTAAAAAATGATGATAATTTGGTAGAAATTGCATTGAATCTGTAGATTTCTTTGAGCAGGATGGTCATGCCAATGATATTGATTCTTCTATTCCATGAGCATGATATATTTTTCCATTTGTTTATGCCATCTATAATTTATTTCACCCATGTTTTGTAGTTCTTCTTGTAGAAGTCTTTCATCTCCTTGGTTAAATGCATTCCTAGGCGGGGGTGTATGTATATGTTTATGTGTGTGTGTGTGTGTGTGTGTGTGTGTGTGTGTGTCTATTGTAAAAGGGATTGAGTTTTCAATTTGGTTCTCAGCTTGAGTGTTGTCAGTGTATAGGCATACAACTGATTTTTGTTCATTAATTTTCTATCCTAAAACTATATTGAAATTGTTTATCAAGCCCAGAAGTCTGTTGGAGGAGGCTTCAGGGTTTTCTAAGTATAAGATTATGTAATTAGTGAATATAAATAATATGACTTTCTGTTTTCCAATTTAGATGACTTTTATTTATTTCTCTGCCTGATTGCTCTGGCTAGCACTTTCAGTACTATGTTGAATGGTACTGGTGACAGTGAACATCATTGTCTTGTTCTAGTTCATAGTGGGGCTGCTTTCAACTTTTCCCAATTCGGGAATGATGTTTGCTGTGACTTTGTTTCAAAATTCAGTATTTTAATATATGACTTTTCTCCAAATTTATCTTTATATTTAACACTGTCTGAATCAAAATTATGTCCATATTTTTGTATAAATTCATATTTTTTCCTAAAACATACTTAAAATTTCAAAAGACCTGGAAAAATTCTTGAAACAAAAAAAAGTTTGGAGAAACAAGAGAACTAAGTCAATAGAATGGCATGCTTGCAAATAAACTACATTAATATAGAGAATTAACTTTTACAAAAATGCCATAGCACTTGAAAAAGGAAAAGAAAGTATTTTCAATGAATAATGCAGAAACACTTTGATAACTAGTCTTTTAATAATTATTCTACCTTATACCCCACACATATTATTTTTTATAGGAAAAAATAACTAAAAATAAAAGGCTAAATTTATAAAGCCTTAAAGGTATCTACTGGAGGATATTTGGGTTTGCAAAAATTTCTTAGGGAGGACACAAAAATTACTAATAAAAAAGTGGCTAATTTTCTTCAAAAAATTCTGCTCACTTAATAACATTTTAAAACGTACTAGAAGAAAGAAATATTGTATATATCTGACATTTACATCTACAATATAACCAAATCAAAATCACCCAATATGAAATTAACAAAAGACCTGTGCAAGTCTTCACAGGTTCATACACACAAAAATAAAGATACAAAAATAGCACATGAAATGATGCTCAAAATCCTTAGACAGTAGGGAAATACAATTTAAATCAGCATACAATACCAACACATTAGAATGGCTACAATTAACTAAGACTGATATTAAGTGTTGGTAATGTTGTGGATCAACTGAAGCTGTCACTTGACTTGCTGGTAGGAATTAAAATGGATACAACTACCTTGGAAAAGATTTTGAAAATATCTTCTAAATTTAAATTCATTTATCATATGACTCGGCCATTTCACTTCTTGTTATTTACTAAACATAAGCAAAAATATTTATCCACATTTTTTACAAGGATGTTTCTAGCAACTTCATTCAAAATATACAAACAGTGGGAAAAAAAAATCTAAGAGCTTATTTCCAGGTAAATAGATGAAAACAATGTTATTTATACAATAAATGGAATACTAACCTGCAGCAAATAGACACAAACTACTGTTGCATTCAATAACATGAGAAAAATCCAAAAAAATGTTGTGTGAAAGAAGGCATACAAAAGAGTGCATGCTATATTATTTCATTAATATGAAGCTCCAGAACAGGTTAAAATAATCAAAACAAATGATAGAAATTAGAATGATGCTTACCTGGAAGATGTCATGGGATAAAAATAATCTAAATATTGACCAATGTGCTTGTTATATATATACATATATTTATTAAAACTCATCAAAGTGTACCCTTAAAAATCTGTACATTTTATTTTATGTAAATTATACTTCAATAAAAAATTAAAAGGTTTGATTCTGACAGTTAATTTAATATGACTATTAGCTGTTCTATTGAAGGTGTTAAATAAACAGATCTATGAGTCTGTTGTTCTTTGAGAGTTCCATGTTATTGAAAACATTTAAGAATTATTCACAGAGATAGAAGGAATAGATATTATCCTCTCTTTCTGAACTCCTTTCTTGTCTATAGCTATGAAGGCCATGTAAGATCCAAGCATTCTTCATAAACTTATTGCAAACCCTCCTCTACCATGGATATTCTTTTCAGACAATAACCACTTCCAATTATACTGGTGAATTATTCTAGTACACTTTTGTGTTTGAAGGAAATAAGTGGTAATTTGGAACTTTACCCTTTTTTCTAATGAGATCCTGCTTTCTCGGAACACAGTTTCTGATTACCTCTTGGCCCTTTCCTGCCATTTTATTTTTCCTTTTTTCTTAGTTTTGATCTGCCTTTGACTAGTAGGAAGGTGGATTTAAAATTGTAAAACTTACTTAATATTTACAGTAAGTCATATTAACCAGCATCAACTTTATCAGAATAATGACAAATATAATTTTATTTATATATATATATTTATATATATATATATATATATATATATATATATATATATATATATATACCTATTAACCCTAATTTAGAAACTTTCAATGGATTATAAGCTTGAGAGGTCAAATACAGCATCACTCATTAGCCACTAAAACTTCAACAGAGCTACCATATCCAAATTCCGATTCTCTGTATTTTACCAATTCTAAATATTAGTTAGTTTGCATATTTGAAGTACTTTACAACTCAATGAAACATTGAGAATTTGGAAGTAATCTGTGAAAAAGCCCTTTATTCAAGACTAGCATTAAATCTCAGAGGTGAGTGATACTGTTTAGAAAGACAATTGACAAAACTTTCTATGGAGGACTGTATGTCACTGTATATCAATTCTTCCATGTGCTATTCATTAATTTTCAAAAAATATATTAACATTTGTTACATTATTGCTAAAGAAATACTATAAAATGTTGGGGCCTATACTCTGTGACCACAAGGCTATTAGGACATAGATTGTTTAGAAGTAGGCAGAAGACAGAAAAAATAAATATGAAATATGGAATTATTTTGGTTTGTTAAGGTAATATTGATGACACTGCCAATGATTTCTTCTCTTATTGAAGGTGGTGAGTCAGGAAGGCATAAGTTTTTTTTTATATTTAAACATATAACACAACTTTATGATGAATATGAGCATAAAATTGCAGTTTAAGATATCCTTTGTGTATTAAAAAATACAAAGCCAAGTCTCAATGTAACTATTTAGCAATGTAGTATAATTGGAAAATTTATAACAGTTCTCAGCACAAGACGAACAGTGTTGTGATTGTGTTCCTAACTACTCATAATTGTTTCTTCTAATAATTATCCATCTCTTTCCCCTGACTGTTCCTTTCAAATGATTTGTATATTTTATAAAGCTTCTTGATTCTGTGTGCTGATTTCTTAGTAAGGGTTGCTTTGAACGTGCAAATAAATATTTTGAGTGGAAGTTTTCTTTCACATGTTTATCAATAAAAATCTATATGTTTCCTTGAATTTTTTAATACTATTGTTTTCCAACTCAAAAGTATAGAAAAGACACCATGGGATGTTAATAGTGGTATAGGTTGTGTATATGTGGGGATGGGGGTTATGTGGGAACTCTGCACTTTAGGTTCTATTTTGCTTGAACCTAAAACTGATGTAAAGTGCAAAGTTTATTAATTTAAATACATATGAAAATATATTTAAAGCTCTTTTAATATTTATTGCTGTAGAAAATTGGCAACAATAAAGTAGTTGTAAGATTTGTCTATTGAGAAAATAGCATCACACAATAACATTTTGTGAACTAAATGTATTTACATTTACCAAAATTTATTTTGTGTTAACCCAAAGAAATCTAAGTGAACTAAAAATACTTATTATTTTTAATTAAAAATAAATTAGAACATTATAACACTGAAGAAATATGCAGACATTTTCTAGTCGTAAGATGACAATTCTTTGAAGAATAAATACCTTCATTGTTATTTTGATAAGCTATTATTTGATAAGCTGTATCTTTTTATGGTATGTAAATAAATGTTCCAGATTCAATTATATTTATGCAATCTATAAGTATATACAGAAGTTTTATCATAACTAAGACTTTGAAGGAAAATTGGAATGAATTTGAGGGGAAAGAGGAGCAATTCTACGTCTATTAGCCTCTATGTTATTTATTTAAGTCACTTCACGTCTCTGGTTCTGTTTTTTATTTTTGATGTAAATATATAACATCTTAATCTTGGTATACATGGACGGGTGGTAGAAGATTTATACAATCATGTAACTAAGTGCAAAATTCAAAGAGAATGTACATTTTACAGAAGAGTCTCTATACTTATATTCAATGGCAGCTATAGAATTTCTATATAACAGGAGAGAAAATGTATTTAATTAGATTGAATGTTTAACTGATATGGCTTAGGAAGTATGACAATAGCAAGTGTTTGGTGATCAAAGCCTTATACTGCAAGCAGCCCTGGACAGTATCATTGCCTTTAATGATTTTAAAAGTGATTATTGAGGAGAGAATAGTTTAAAAGCATTAGTCTAGATAGGTCTAAAGCCTTTGAGAAAGAAAGCATGAATGAATGAACATTTTAGTACATAATCAACATCAGAAAATATACAATAAAATTTCCAGTTTTTAAATGAATGGGCCTGGCACATTCCAAGCAGAATGGAAGGAAAGCCATACAGAAAGTCAGAAGGCCAACATGGGAGACCCATCTCTGCTACAAACCTCAAGTTGCTTCGGTCTCTGAAATTCAGTTTGCTTATCTAAAGAACAAATATTCAGGTTGACCCAGTCATATATAGTTTACTTTATTAATCTTTTTTTTTGAGTAGCTACCACTTGGCAGTACTGCATGAAATGTAAGAGGTATAAATATAAACAGAAACAACTGCTGCCTTCAGGAAGCTGTTGCCCTTTGAATGTTTTCTCTCAAAGCAGATCCATCTAGCTTAGGGAAAGTGGACTTCTTTCTTTTTCTTGTTCTTACAGCTAGGGATATTCTTTATCTTTCCTTAAAATTCCCTCATGCTTTCAACTTACTTTTCTACATACCCTTAGCTCATTTCTTTGTGGCTGTAACTGTCCCAATCTTGGGGCTAATTTCCAGAATTAGAAAGAAGTTTTCATCATTGAAAATTAGAAAATTTTAGAGGTATCATGACAAACAATATAAAATAAAGAAACTTTTAGCAAATTTACAAAGAGTAGATGCTTTTTTCCTCTCAATATCTGCTTCCAATCCCCTTCACACTCCCCATCAGTCTTATCATCTCTTATTAACAGGACTAACAACTAAAACATGTATAAGAATATCAAGAGTGGGGGAAAGTCATTTTTAGTGTGTCCCCTTCTGGCTCACATTTTACTTCATATTTTATATTATAATCTTTGTATATTTTGATTGACAAAGTCACAATTAGCACAATAAAATAATAAGATAATTTTCTCTATTCTGTGCACTTCAGTAATAACATGAATAAATCTCACATAAGAAAACAGGGATAAGGTAAGGAATGTGTATTATTCTACATAAGCATAGATGATTAAGTTTAACTAGCCTCAACCAAAGAAAAATAAAAACTGCTTCAGGTCCAAAATACCAAAAGTCTATTTGTAGAGAAATCAGGGTATTAAATAATTATAAAATTGATAAAAGAAAAGAAATATTTAGCCAAGACTACTCCATTTAGACTTCTGTCTTTAAAAACTTGTACCCAAGTTTATCAATTCCAGTTTTTAATTCTCAATTCTACCAAATTCCAAAGTTTAAAACACTACAAATTTTAAAATAAAACTCAAAATTAGCCAAAGTTTGTTATAAAAATATAGCTATGATTCTGTCTCAGATTCTTTGTGGGTTTTTAGGTAAAGGGCAAAAATATAAATGAAAAGAGGTAACAAAAATGGTGCAAATTTAAGACAGCTTATTTTTCTGACATTCTGGTAATTTTAAATCAAGATAGAGAATTGTTAGCAGAAGTGCCAGAACATAAGATCTGCTAAATAAAATGATGCTACATTTAAAGTGAAGATAAAAGACATAAATTACAGTAGACAGAAGGATCCCTTTTGGGAATTAACTTAGAAATTGTATCAGACTTTGAAATAAGAACAAAATAAGAGTGAAAGAAAAAGGATGATGATTTTAACTTCTAAAGCTTATTATAAAATGTTTGAAAAATGTCATAATTGTAAAGATATTTAAATAAAAATATTTAAATATATAATTAAGATAGATATAATAGATAAACAGACAGGGATGGATGGATACATGGATGGATATGTAGATACTTGGATGGATATATCATAAATGACACTCGAACTGAAATAACCTTGTTGGTTTTTTCAAAGTCAGTTATTTTATATGGATCTTTGGGTCCATCTCTCACAGCAACTGTCTACTTGGGGACAACGACATCTATTTTTTTTTTTTTTTTTTTTTTTTTGCTCTAAAAGACATATCTTACTGATTCTGCAAGGAATTGTCCTTCAAAAATTAAATGGTAAAGAAACTAAAAAGAAAAAAGGAACTATGGTGGGCCTATTTTTTTTCTATTTGTATAGCTAGATAAAAATCACGTTTACATTGGGACATAGGAACTATTCCATTTTCTTTGAACGCTAAAAAATGTCTTGGGCATGAGGAGAATGATAAATGAAAAAGCAGACCCAGCATGATATACCCAAGTGAAGCTCTCTCCACATGCCCTTTTACTCCTCCATCAGGGCATAAAGAATGACATTATAAAAGTTGGGTTATCTTGACCTTCTGCTTACTGTGAAACACATAGTTGATCTTTTCTTCTATTCATCAGACTCTTCCCAAGTACGGCTATTGGATTTTTTGACTTGACACTTAACAATGCTCTTCACAGTAAATGCTAGTTAGAGCTTGTTTACTTGAAAGTTACCAAACTCAATTCAAGTTGACTAAAACAAACAACCAAAGGAATTGTTTTCTCATTAAGTCAAACTCAGTTCAAGTTGACTTAAACAAACCACCAAAGAAATTGTTCCCTCATTAAGTAGTAATTTATTTATTTTGTTTTGTTTTGGTCCATGTGGACAGAGGATATCTTGCTCAATATTTTTCAGCACTTCTCACTGTGTGTTGACTTCAGTTTTAGAAAGTCTCTCTCTTTTGAACCTCTAGATGACAGACAGCAGCTCTAGTGACCACATTTACCCCAAGTCACTCACAACAAACAGTAAGTAATTTTAGTCTAGAATTCCCAGTGAATAGTACTGGCATATATGCTGATAGATTTAATTTATACTGCTCTCTTAACCAACCAATGAATATAAGTCATACAGTGTGTTGCTTGGCTTAGGCCTAAATTATGTGCTCTGCTCATAGAAGCAGTAGTGATCACAGAAATATAAATTATCCCAGGGTGCCAATTTTGCCAACTGAGTTAGAAAGTAATATAATAACTGCTAATACCTACTCTTCCAGATAGCTATCTGATGTTGATTCATGCATTAAACTGGATCAAAGTAGTTGTAATAGGTACAGTACTTCTGGACAACAATCTAACTCAAAAATATAAAGAAAAACAAGACAAGCAAAATGCTTTATTTCTACCCAGCATTTGAATCACTGGGTATTTGTTTTAAAAATTAAACATAAAATTTAAAAAATAATAATAAATTATGCAGGGTTTGCCTATTTAAACAGATGAATTTAAAACAACAAAATTTTGGAAGTCAATATCCATGAGAGAAAATTGTAGTGCATCCTCACACTCATTGGTAGGGGAGTGATTTTTAAATACTCCCCATTATAAAACTGTGTATCAAAACAAACTGTGAGGCTATATTCTCCTAGTTTTATACCACCTTTTATCTCTATACCTCATCTGCGACCCTGAAAAATTGCAGCCTTAATGAATCCCTATGATGCTGGCAGTATGTCACAGCTGTCACTTCTATGAGCCATGTTATTATAGGAAAATATTTGTAAGGAGTTCTATAAATAATATATTACACAGCAATTTACATGGCAATTCTGAAATCTAATAAATGAGAACTATTTTATAGTGTAATGTTAAATTAAAGAAAAAGTAGGCTAGTCCATTGAATACATACCTTAATGGCAATCATAAATGCTGAGCTATGGATGCTAATTTAACTTGGGCTAAAGAAATGAAAAGAGAGTTTCCTCTATTTTATTTATTTTCTATTATGTAATATGGACCTAATAATATATCAGCATTATTCTTTTATATATTTATTTCTATTATATACACAGGGCAGAAATGATAATTATAATTTTCTTTTCTACATAGGTATCCACATATATAAGAGAAAACTAATTTAATAAACAACCAAATTGTATACTGCCTTATTCATATATTAATAAATTACATTTGAAAGTCACACAGAAAAGCCAATTCCACAATGATATCATGATACTCAATAAAACCAGCTACTTAAAATTCCTTAAAATTTAGTAAATTTTTTTAATCTAAACCTATTAACACTAGGGTATTTTATCATGTTCAATCACTAAAGAAGAGTCTAATCCTGTAAAGTAAGATTTCCAAAATGAAAGCAGGAAATTAGAATGACTACTTTGCTGGTAAAATGCCTGCTGGCTCGTAATGCACAATATCCGAAAGGTGATCAGGCCACACAATGACTCAATCTTGATTGTCTGCTTTTATTTAAAGTTATTGCTGCTAGGAGACTGCTCTCTCGTAATCGTGCCTTGAATTTCCTTGAAGATGGACAATTCCTGGAACCTGCCAACTTGGTGAGGGCATTGGGAAAACAGAGTGTGCATTTAAGGAGAATTTATTTTTTTCAAATTTTTACTGCATTCTTTACCCAAGAAATATAAACAATACCATAACATTTGAAGTTCAGAAGGTGTAAGAACTGTCTTGATGAGGACTTATATTTTGGTTTTAGTGTACACAGAGAGATGTGTAACACTGATGTATGTGTTGGGTAGCTGTGAAGCAATAAATTCTTAGAGTTCTTTACCCCTCAGGGGAAAAATCTGGATAAGCAATTGTTGCCATTGTACAGACCACAGGGCCATTTTCAGTGGCCCAAGACTATACAATGGGCACAATATCCAATGTTAAAATGATTTTTTGAAGTTTTGGGAACCAGGCCCATCCTTGGGTCTCTTCCTTTATCAGTTATCCTAATCTAGTTAAAGGGTAAAAATTGGCAGCCTTCCACTCAGCATCATCATGTGTGATGGTGGCACTACCATCTGTAAAGTGTATGAACTACCTTTGCTATTCACTCGTGATCTCAAAGGGCTCCACAGGTGACCAAAGGGTCTTGGAAATGGATGACATCATTTGGCATCATTGTATCTGGAAAAGAACTGAGGAGAGATTAGGTCACCCCTTTATACAGGTGGCATACATCAGAGTGCCTAGGTTGGGCTCTATCCTACGGTTAACACTTCCATTTGAACAGGAGGTTATGATGGTTATACAAGCTTATGGCCTAATATTTCCAAATACAGGCATGAATAATGAAGAGCCTGCAAGAGTCTCCATCTCCAGAAGAGCCCAATATGTGGCTGGCTTTCACTCTATGTTGTATAATGTGGGACTGAAGAGGGTAGTTTTATTATATAGGAACCCTGAGGAATTTGTAGCCATTGTAGGTGATCTAGAGACTTCAGTAAGCATGAAGAGAGTTTGTTGAAACTTGTTTGTTGAGAGTTTGTTGAAGCAGTCTCTGGTGGTCACTAATGAAAGTTCCTATTATATTGCAATGGAGTGCCTACTACATTGTAATGTGCACGGATTCTAGAACCCATTGTTTGAGGGGTTGTCTAAAGTAGGCTGATTTGAAGTAATAAAATAATAGAATTATATAAAATTTGCATACAGGAAAGGCAATGCCTCCAGAATCCAAAATGTTTCCAAAGATATTGAATTTATAATTATAATTAAAATGTGATTTCTGAGCAGGTCAATAACTCTTTCTTGACATTTTCTAAGATGGAGTAGCCCTTGAGAATCAAATGATGCCAAGAATTTAGTGAAAGTCACATGCACTTCTACATTGGGCAAAACCATATCCCACCCATTTTTGTGAGATCATTTGTGAGTATTAGTCTGTACTGAATGAGTTTATCAAATGAATCTCCCTGGGGAGGACAACGTCAATGTAATGCCCATATCTGTTTTCTTCAAGAATGCTGGATGAGGTTAAGATGCTGCTTGCAAAGATTGAGTGTGATAGCAGGGCTGTTGAGATTCCTCAGGGGTATCCTAGGGAAAGAAAACAGTACCTGAGAGGCATTGAAAAATGCAGGGAAACAAACATTTTAGACAAATCTGTAATAACATAACAATTACCAGCTGATGATTCAATGGAGTCACTAGCTTCAATAAGATTTACCATGAAAAATTCAGTGGTTGAAACAATGGCAATAAAGTTCCAGCAATTCACCATGAGACTCCATTTATTCTCTCTATGTGTAAGAATAGGCCAAAAGGTGCTATTAAACAGAGAAGCAATGGAGATAATCATCCCTTTTCTAAGCAGGTCTTGTTAGAATTCTTGAAGGTCCTGTTTTAATTTCAGCCGTGTATTGGTATTCTACAGCAGCTGTGATAACCACAAAGTTAGTTACATAAAACAATATACATTTATTATCTTATAGTTCTGTAGAGTTCCATTTCCCAAACTGGGCCTCACTGGGCTGAAATCAAGGTTTTGAGAGGGCCAAAATCCCTTCTGAAAAGTCTAGGGGATAATCTTTTCTTTTGGTTTTTCCAGAATCTAGAGGTTGCCCACATTCCTTTAGTCGTGGCCCTCTTCCTCAGTATTCAAAGCCAGCAGCTGTGGGTCAAGTTCTTCACACATTACCTTAACCTTCCCTTTTGTCTCAGCTTCTACATTTAAGAACCCTTGAGATTATGTTGACCCACACAGATAATCCAGGATAACCCTATTTTAACATCAGCTGATTAGCAGCCTTAATTTCATCTGCTGCTTGAATTCTCCTAGTAATATAGTATAATAATTAATATAAAATAATGTATAGGTTCTAGGCTTAGAAAACGACATCTATGAAGGACCATTATTTTCCTTACCACAGCTTATGTTAATTATTTTAACCAGAAGGGAAGGCCATGGAATTCCATTTTATACACATGGTTTTGAGTGTCACATTTATAGAAGTGTACATTTAAGTGTACATTTAATTTTATTTAATGTATTATAATACTTGTTATGTCAGAATGTTATTATTACTGAATATATTATTTGTTCTGTCAGAACCCATGTCCTTATTATGGGGACAACGAGCTCCATGAATATAGAAAATTTAGGCAAAGCAGTAGTTCTGATGGTTAATTGCAGCCATTCCTGTTTGCTATTTTGTTTGTTAACTCCTCTGTGAGGAGAGGGGATACATCACATTCTCAGATTTTTCCAAATGTAACTGTCATTCATGTTCTGGTGTTGATAAAGACACAGAAGTTTTGCCAATTGGTGTATTTCAGCAGATGTTAAAGTAAATACAGAACCCGAGTTTTGAAGTGCGAAAGCCATTCAATGCCCTTTTACGTTTTTGCTGTGTTAATTATTTTAGCATATTCTGGATTTCCAGTTTGGGAAAAATCATTGATGTTTTTTACAAAGATTTTTTTCTTCCATTTTAGTCAGTTTAAAAAAAATGTATCTATTGCTTATTCATTTTTACTATGTGGTTACTGGACATACCTCAAAGGGCAAGTCCTCTCTATCCTGCTAATATTTGTAAGTTTTTTTCCTTTGAGGAAACTCATCATGGTTAGAGGTCTTCTCCATGGCAATTGTTGCTTTACTGGGCTTAGGGATCCCAGACTTAATTCAGGTTTAATTAACCTCTTGGCTGTGCCATGTGGGTGCCATGTGCATTTTCCTTTATAAGCCTGAGTATTAGGAACATCAAAGGCATTTTGAAGGGTGATTACAGCCATCTCCTTTTAGAAATGTGGACCTCAGAGTGCCATATGGTGACTATGTTTCCTACTGACCACATGACTGGCCTGTGTGTGGCATAGGTTTTCAGTCTCTCCCTTAAGCACTGTACAGAATGAAAGCCAATGCTTTGTTAAGACAAAAAAACAAACAAACACAGTCACAGGCTAAAGTTGCTCCCCTAAGCCAATCATCAGTCATGGCTTATGCCAGAATGAAGACACATGATTCTATCTAAGACAGAGATAGGACTGGGCCAAGACACACAACTAGGGCCATATTCATGATGGCCCCAATGTCATACTCTAGCCCTTAAATGCCAACTCTAGAAAGTTCCAATCCAGGATAGTTAAGTTAAATCTATAACAGAGACTTCTCAGGACTCAGCAAATGAACACAGCCCAAATCACAAGCTCTGAAGTAGGCAGCAGCACAGCTCAGAAAGCATACTAGCACCCCAAAGTCCATTCTCCCCTGCTGGCCACAGAGTCTGTTAGCAAACAAAAACAATAGAAGAAAGGTCCTTGGTTGTGGTGACCATCACTTGTGTGTCCTGTTCACCTTGCCAAATGTTTACACTACCCCACAGTAAATATAATCGATTCTGTACCCAAAATTTTGTTTGGGTGTAAGGACTGATGATGTCCCTTGCTCAGTGTATGAGCCTACTCAGGCTGCTATAACAAAGCATCATAGACTGGGTGGTATAAACAACAGAAATTTATTTCTTAAAATTCTAGGGCTAGAAAGTCCCAGATTAAAGTATCAGCAAGGTAGGTTTCATAATGGGGTCTTATCTCTTGGATTTTAGGTGTCAACATCTCCCCTATGCTCAAATGTTTTCCTTGTTCATGTGTAGAGGGAGAGAGAGAGTAAGCTCTCTGGGGTCTCCTCTTAGAAAAACACTTATTCTATCAGAACAGAGCCCATCTTTATGACCTTATTTCTTCTTAATTACTTCTTTAGAGGCTCCATCTCCAAATACAGCCACACTGGGCTTTAGGGCTTCAAAATAATAATTTTTGGAAGGACACAAACTTTCAGTCTTTAACATTCATCGAGAACATATCAAAAGATTTATTACTCACAAAATGAGACTTTCTGGGGACATTAGGTTGAAAGGCCATGTGGATCTCTTTTCCCAGAAATCCTAGTTGAGGGCATTATAAACTTACATACCAAACCAACTCACCTCAGATGTACAAGTGAGCTCAACCAAGATTAGCCAGTCAAGATTTGGACTAGAACAACTTTGCAACTGCTCTCATTTCAAATTGCTAATCGGCAAAGTTGTGAATTTAAAAAGCTATTGATTTAAACCATTCAGTTTTAATTTCATTAAGTATTCTTAATTGAATTTTTCCCTACTTATAAACTAATGCATATTATTGTTGTCTACTTATGTCAAAGATTGAGATTTGTAAGTATGCATAAACTCATATTCTCAAATTACTTGTACTCTATCTCTTTTCTATGTTCAATTCATTATTAAAAATGTAATGTACTATTATATTACTTCCTCTAGACAATCTCCACTTTAATTACTGGTTTTGATTCACATACCATGAAATTTGCAGCCAGATTTCTACCATTATGTTATTATTTTCGCCAACATACTGTTTTGCAACTACATTTACAACACTGCTAAATTAAATTTCCACATCGTGCTATTTTTCAAAACTTCATAATGATTACTTTATGCCAGCCTAAAAAAGTAACTCCAATTTACCTCTTAATACACTCTGATATATGTCTTCAACATTTTTATCATGAAGATTATTTAAGAAGTAATTCATCTAAACTATTTTATGTCTTATGCTGTTTATTCTCATAAACAATAAAATAATTAATTTAAAATTATTATTTTTCAGGAACTCTGTATATACAGTTCCATTTTATTCTGATACCATTGTTTTGTAAGTAAATTCTGAAGATGGGGAGATGTTCATTTATTTAATAAATTTACTCTTTTTTGTGAAGACTCAATGTTAGTTACTCTTTCCAGATATATTTTTATGTATACTCCTTATTTTATATATTGTTCTTTTATATATTTTCTGCTGTCTATAGACACCATCTTCTTTCTCATCTTCTTTATTGTTTTGCCAGCCTTAAAAAGCAGAAATGTTAAAATTTGTTACTTCATCATCTCCAAATGTTTGATTGAAGTTTCATTCTGAATTTGTCTACTATTAGTTCAATATTAACTATGTATTTGTGTATACAATATGGACTATATAGGAAAGCATATATGTAAAGTAACATCTTTATATATTTAAAACTCAAACACATTACCAGATTATATCTAATGTGGTACAGCATATGACTCACAAACATTCACTCTCTTTTATTAACCCTAAGAGGGGATAATCCTATAACAAACTGTTAGTTGGATGTGACCATATGATTTATCTTCATCAGTGAAATGTGAAAGGATATTATATATGACATAGCTGAGCAAAAATATTTTACTGTTATTAAGAAATTTGGTTCAGCTTCTTGCTCTCATATTTTTTGTGTTCACCACCAAGAAACCGTCTGTTTCTTAGCCAGAAATAAGAGCCAGAGAGCTAATATGAACCCATCCTACACCCCAGAAAAGTTATAGCAGCTGATCTACAAAAAACATAACATTTTAGGAAGATACATATTGTTGTAATGCACTGAGACTTTGAAATTATTTGTTATGAAGCACAACTTAACAAAGGGTAATTCATTGATAAAAGATTTGTTCTTTTACATGACTTGATATGGAGGGAAATCTTTTTTTTTTTTTTTTTTTTGAGACGGAGTCTTGCTGTGTCACCCAGGCTGGATGCAGTGGCACTATCTCGGCTCACTGCAAGCTCCGCCTCCCAGGTTCACGCCATTCTCCTGCCTCAGCCTCCTGAGTAGCTGGGACCACAGGCGCCCGCCACCACTCCTGGCTAATTTTTTGTATTTTTAGTAGATACAGGGTTTCACCCTGTTAGCCAGGATGGTCTCAATCTCCTGGTCTCATGATCTGCCCGCCTCGGCCTCCCAAAGTGCTGGGATTACAGGCGTGAGCCACCGTGCCTGGCCTATCAAGGGAAATCTTAAATCATCAGAATAGACTTTTAATAAGACTGACAAGGATTTCTTCAAATATTCCTTTATTATTTTTTTTTTTTGCACAAGCATTTTACTTTATTAAACTTCTCAGCGATAAAATGTTGGACTTTTATTATCTGCTCTCTGTAGACACCATCTTCTTTCTCATCTTTTTTATTGTTTCTCCAGCCTTAATAAGCAGAGATATTAAAATTTTTTCCTTCATTATCTCCAAATATTTGATGAAGTTTCATTCTGAATTTGTCTGCTATTGGTTCAATACTAACTATACATTTCTTTAATGTTGATAAAATATTATAAACGGTTTTTATATTTCATTTTATTCCTTATTAATTTCTCCTTGTAAATTCTATCTTAATTTTTCTTCCTAGAACTCAGGCTTTCCTGAACTACATTTAAAAAGGGTTAAGTTCTAAAATGTACTGTATAATCTAAATATGACCAATTTTATTTCTTGAATGGTACGTTTTCTAGACTTTACACTAAAAAGTCTAACATGGAATCATAGATTTTTTTTTGAAATACACTAGAATTTAAGTCTATGTTAATGTTTACCCATATTGAAAGCATATGCATACTGTTGTCATTTAACTAGTTACCTATTTGCTTTTACAAGCATCTCTTTAAATCTTAAGCCTGAAGGGCTGCTTGTCATTGGTCCTCATCAACTTGATGATGTTCTTAAACCATTTATTTTTTGCTATTTATATGGAGCCTGAGAAGAGATAACCTTGCCCATGTTCAAAATGAAGTAATATTGGGATTATCCAAGCAGTCTGTATGTCTTCTGTTACTATTAACCCTGTTAAATATACTCCAATATAAATGCTGCCTTGAACATTCTATCAAACTTGCTAGCCTAAAGCCAGTGACTTCTGTGTTGAAAAGTTCAATGGACATTTCAACTACAGGGATACCTGAGCTCTCTGCCATCCTTGCAACAATTAGCCACTCTCTTAATCTTAACCCAATACAGTTTTTTGATACCTGTGGTATCATAACTTTCTCTTGATTTACACTTATTTCTCTGGCTGCTCATTTTTACTTTCTTCTTCTATCCTTCTATAAATACCAAGTTTTTCAGCACTTAGGCTGTAATTGTTTTACTCCGCTGGTATTTTCTTCTTAGGCTTCTAGTGCTAACTAAACATAAGGACTCAAATTTACATAGTACTTGTCTTCCAACTTAACTGAAATTTGACCTGCCCCAAATTGCATTGTATTTCCACCACACACTGAGTCACCTGTAAAATATGTATTGAAGTTGACATTTCCAATATATTCAGTAACTAACACTAGAGTGATGGGAGTTTTTAAAAACTATTTTCTGTACTTTCCTCTCAAGTCAATTTTATCTGAAAATAACTCCCCTTACCCTTGTGGCTATATAATTGTCATCTTTCCTAAAGTTGAAATTTAAATATTACTTCCTCTGGCTCTAAACTATATAGTATAAGAAAGCATCACATATAATGAATGGCTCATCATTGATGTTTAACTCATGTTTGAGTTTATCTATAATTCTTAGTAAAATAAAAATATAAAGAGTAAAACTCATAAAGAGGTCATGGTTTCAGTAAAAACTTAATATTTCATATGTGAAATGAATTAGTCTTATCATTAAATGGTCTCGATTTTGGAAAAGAATGGAATTATGGTCACATTCATGTAATTACTAAAGATAAATTTAGAATGCAAAATGTAGGCTACTTGTCCTGGTTCTTGTGTTCTTCGTTCTCTGTATGCAATTGTCATCCTGCAGTCACGTTACTTTAGTATATCTTACAGAATGAATATGCGCCCTCCTATGAAGGAAAGAATTCCTAGAGAAGAACTAACATTAGTTAAATGCCTCCTTTATATTTATTAGCTACATTGTAAATAAACCAACCCTTTCATTTATATTGGGAAATTTGTTTCACAGTTATTAATTAACATTCTCAAATATAAATTTCATTAACCATGGATTTAAGATATAAATCAAAACACATTTAATCACAAAGGCCATGATCTTCATATTATATCAGTCTATATCTAATTATTAATTATTTTAACTTCTAGGGTTAGTGAATTCTGATGAACATAGGTATGTGTGTGGTATACAGAATGAGGCAGTGTTTCCTGCAAACTGCATTCAATAAGCAAAGACTTCAATATATTCCATGTGTTT